>NC_000015.10:35398086-35701116 GCF_000001405.40 Homo sapiens
TAAATATCTGTTCTCTGCCCCTGGTTCCCAAGATGGAGCTCCCAATACTCTTGTAGATAGGAGTGCCAGGAGAATCTTTTGTTCTAACATTTGGTCTTTGACCCCAGTTCCAGAGACAGAGCTCCTAAGACCTTTGTAATTTCCTGAGTGACAGAAACATCTTTTGTTCTAATGAGGTGACCCTTGGTGGGCTCCTGGATAGCCTTGGGATGGGCAATGGTTGCCAGGGAAACCAACCTTGTGATTAGAGGGTTGGAACTTATAGCCCTATCCCCTAGCTACCTGGAAATGGAAAAGTGCTGAAAGTTTAGTTGCTCACCAATGGCCAATGACATAATCAATCACACCTACATAATGAAGCCTCCATGAAAACCCGAACGGACAGGGTTCAGAGAGCTTCCAGATCGCTGATCACATGGAGCTGCCTGGAGGATGGTGCGCTGAGAGACAGCCTGGAAGCTCTGTGCCGCCTTCCTACATACATTGCCCTATGCATCTCTGCATCTGGCTGTTCATCTGTATCCTAAACTATATCCTTTATGAATAAACCAGTAAATGTAAGTAAAGTGTTTCCCAGAGTCTGTGAGCTGTTCTAGCAAATTAACAGAACGCAAGAAAAAGGTCGTGGGAATGCTTGATTTATGGCCAGTTAGTCAGAAGTATAGGTAACAACCTACTACTTGTGGTTGGCATCTGAAGTGGTGGCAGTCTTGTAGCACTGAACCTTTAATCTGTGGTATCAGAATTAAATTGAATAGTAAGACAGACAGTTGGTGTCTGCTGAGGAATTGCTTGGTGTGTGGGAAAAACCTCACACATCTGGTGTCACAAGTGTTGTGTTTAGTGGTGTGCAAGCATAGAGAAAAAAATAAATAGTTTATTTTTTCTTCAGATTCCCCTATAGTAAAACTCAGGGTCAAAAAGCCCCATCCACATACCTAGTGCTTACAATCAAATTCTTAGGCTCCCTGCTCTTAAATATTAGCATAATAACACAGATTACAAGAAATCTGAGGAACATTTCTAAAATGAAAGTTAGAGACCAAAACAAACAGTGAGGAAAATAGACTATGCATGGGAGAAGAAAATCAAAACAAACAAAAGCTATCAATATTCTTAGGGAGATTAGAGAATATATTACATTAAGGATGGGGTATTATAGCTTTAAATAAAAACAACATTTAAAGAACAAAAAAATAAGCTTTTAAACATTAAAAATGACATAAAAACAAGATTAGAAGCAAAATTGAGAAATTCTAGAAAGAACAAAATGAATTAGATCAAAATGAGGAGACAAAAGTTAAAAGTTAAGGAACATTTAAATAACAGAAATAAAGAAGAATTTATAGAGTAACAGAAATTCTAAAAGCAAAGTCAGAGGGGAGGTACACTAATGAAATAATTCAAGGCAACTTCCCACAACTCAAATTTCCAAACTGAGTATTATTCCTGTTCCAGCACAGTGGATAAAAACATACACACCCAAGATACACCTAAGAGTCACAATTCTAGGGGCAAAAAGAATATCCTATACACTTCCAAAGAAGAAATGGAGACATATGGAGAAAGTCATCACATACATTTAGTCAGGAATCAGAATGGCTTTGGGCTTTTCAACAGTACACCAAGCTACAAGGCAATGAAGCAATACTATCAACATCCAGAAGGAAAATCATTCCCAAAACAGAATTCTATGACCAGTTACAGAATCCATCAAATGTGAGGAAAGATTGAAGACATTTTCAGGTATGCAGTCTTCAAAAATTTACGCCCATGGGTTCTTTCTTAGAAATCTCTTGGAGAATGTGCTTCACAAAAATAAGAGTTAACAAAGGAAAACACTGGATCCAGGCAACAAGGACTCCCAACACAGAAAGAAGGTAAAGGGAACCCCAGTATTATGAGCACATGCTCCAATGTTAGCGTTATAATAGGCATAGCGAGAACCTGGTTCAGATTAGATCAAGTCAGAAGGCTCTGGAAAAGATTCTTCAGGAGGAAACTGACAAAATACTTCTTAGGTCTGAACATCTGGTTAACAGATTAGAAAACTGGCAATGAGTGTAGCGCTGAATTTGTGATAAGTACAGAGACTACTAAATAAATGAAACAAGACAATTATTCACTCAAGAGAAAAAATAAAAGTTGTACAGGAAAAGAAAGGTTTATTACCAGAGTTTATTACCTGACTTAGCTGTGTATTGGGCTTTTACAGTTATTATAATATAAACACTGGATATTGATCCAATCAGAATTGCAATGTAACAATATAGGAAGATGGAAGGAGGGAAAGAGAACATATATGTAATGGAGGGAAAGGGAGTAAACACAGTGAAATCTGCATATTCCAGAGTGGAAAGTCAATAAATAATACAAATATTAGTGGTGGTAGCAGTGAATCATGAAGTAGTAATGCAAACATACAATCAGAGACATAGAGGTAAATATCAAAAACAACATGGAAGGCTGTTTCTGTGTCAAACACTGAAGAACCATTTGAGAATATAAACCTTGACTAACATTTTAAAATATTACAAAATTAGCCTTTCTGCCAGTGGATGCCACCGAGGAAGCATCATTAAAGTCTCTCTTCCCCCTGCCATCATGTCTAAGTCAGAGTCTCCAAAAGGGCCTGAACAGCTGAGGAAGCTCTTATTGGAGGGTTGAGCTTGGAAACAACCGATGAGAGCCCGAGGATCCATTCTGAGCAATGGGGAATGCTCACGGACTGTGTGATAATGAGAGATCCAAACACCAAACATTCCAGGGGCTTTGGGTTTGTCTCATATGCCACTGTGGAGGAGGTGGATGCAGCCATGAATGCAAGGCCACACAAGGTGGATGAAGAGTTGTGGAACCAAAGAGAGCTGTCTAAGAAGATTCTCAAAGACCAGGTGCCCACTCAACTGTGAAAAAGACATTTGTTGCTGGCATTAAAGAAGACACAGAAGAACATCACCTAAGAGATTATTTTCAACAGTACAGAAAAATTGAAGAAAAGGGGCTTTGCCTTTGTAACCTTTGATGACCATGACTTTGTGGATAAGACTGTCATTCAGAAACACCATACTGTGAATGGCCACAACTGTGAAGTTAGGAAAGCCCTGTCAAACCAAGAGATGGCTAGTGCTTCATCCAGCCAAAGAGGACAAAGTGGTTCTGGAAACTTTGGTGGTGGTTGTGGAGACAGTTTCGGTGGGAATGACAACTTTGGTAGTGGAGGAAACTTCAGTGATCATGGTGGCTTTGGTGGCAGCTGTGGTGCTGATGGGTATGGCGGCAGTGGGAATGGCTATAATGATTTTGGTAATGATGGTGGTTATGGAGGAAGCGGCCCTGGTTATTCTGGAGGAAGCAGGGGCTATGGAAGTGGTGGACAGGGTTATGGAAACCAGGGCAGTGGCTATGGCAGGAGTGACAGCTATGACAGCTATAACAATGGAGGCAGAGGTGGCTTTGGTGGTGGTAGTGGAAGCAATTTTGGAGGTGGTGGAAGCTACAATGATTTTGGCAATTACAACAATCATCTTCGAATTTTGGAACCATGAAGGTAGGAAACTTTGGAGGCAGAAACTCTGGCTCCTATGGTGTTGGAGGCCAATACTTTGCCAAACCACGACACCAAGGTGGCTATGGTGGTTCCAGTAGCAGCGGTAGCTACGACAGTGGCAGAAGATTTTAATTACTGCCAGGAAACAAAGCTTAACAGGAGAGGAGAGCCAGAGAAGTTGACAGCGAAACTACAGGTTATAACAGATTTGTGAACTCAGTCAAGCACAGTGGTGGCAGGGCCTAGCTGCTACAAAGAAGACATGCTTTAGACAAATACTCATGTGTATGGGCAAAAGACTCAAGGACTGTATTTGTGATGAGTTTTATAACAGGTCATTTTAGTTTCTCTTCTGTGGAAAGTGTAAAGCATTCCAACAAAGGGTATCAATGTAGATGTTTTTTTGTGCCCATGCTGTTGATTGCTAAATGTAATAGTCTAATTGTCACGCTGAATAAATGTGTCTTTTTAAAAAACGTGTTGTGTAGTTAGTCTACTCTGAAGCCATCTTGGTAAATTTCCCCAACAGTGTGAAGTTAGAATTCCTTCAGGGTGATGCCAGGTTCTATTTGGAATTTATATACAACCTGCTTGTGTGGAGAAGCCATTGTCTTCAGAAACCTCTGTGCAGTTCAACTGATAGTTACTGTTGTGACCTGAAGTTCACCATGAAAAGGGATTACCCAAGCAAAATCGTGGAATTATTGGTTATAAAAATGATTGTTGGCACATCCTATGCAATATACCTAAATTGAATAATGGTACCAGATAAAATTATAGATGGGACTGAAGCTTGTATATCATCCATTATCATGTATAATCAATAAACTAATTCTCTTGAAAAAATTTACACAATTAGAATACTATTAATAAACAAGGAAGCTGTTCAAAGAATAGTTCTAAACCTTTAATAGTGCAATTTGTATTAAAATTTACCTTCTCTTTGGAAAATGAGAAAATGGTCTTAGGACATAAAGCCCCACAAAACATAAAACCATTATATAATCCATTATTTGCTTATAAGATTATAATTTAAAAATTCTACAGAAGTTTAAGAAACAATGGCTAAAATTATTTCATGGAGTAGTTAGTGTATAAGCCTTAAAGTTTTGTATTCTTTAACCCAGAAATTATATTCCTAGGAACTTAAGAAAATAACCAGAAATGTGCATGAAGATTTATTAGAAAAGATGACAATCATAATGTTATTTTTAATGATTTAGAAAAACCAATCTTTCCAACAACAGATAACTTATAATATCTTATATAATTATTTCATTATGCATATATCATAAGTAAATAATGATACCTTCATATGTAAAATACAAATATGATTAAAATCTACCCAGCCATTAATTAATGTCTTTTCAAAGTATACTTAATTATGTAGGAAAATGAACATGGCATGTTAGAAGAAAAAGGAGGCAAAATTGTATGTATAGTTGAATCCCATTATGTAAATAAAATATACACAAGTGTTTAACTACATAACCTTGTATATAAAACAAATTCTCAGGAAATAAATCATGAGGGAATATACCAATATGTGGATCATGTACACCATGGGGCAAGAAAGGTATGGTTTTTACTTGCTTTCTTTCACTTGATTATATTTTGAATTTTCAGCAATAGCTATTTTTATTTTTCTGCTGTTTTGTTTTTAAATTTTGCATTAAAAATTGTTTAATTTTATGGGTACATAGTAGGTATATATATATATATGGAGTATCAGTATCCATCTGCTCAAGTATTTATTCTTTATGTTAGAATCAGTCCAATTACACTTTTTTAGTTATTTAAAAATGTAAAATTAAATTATTATTGACTATAGGCCCCCTGTTGTGCTATCAAACACTAGGTCTTATTCATCCTTTCTTTATTTTTATTTTTTTGAGACAGGGTCTTACTCTGTCACCCAGGGTGGAGTATGGTGACACAATCATGGCTCATGGCAGCCTCGACTTCCTGGACTCAGGTGATCCTCACACCTCAGCCTCCTAAGTAGCTGGGATAGGCATGTGCCACCATGCTTGGCTAGTTTTTTCATATTTTTTGTAGTCGACAGTTTGCCACATTGCCCAGGCTGGTCTTGAACTCCTGGACTGAAGTGATTCACTCACCTTGGCCTCTCAAAAGTGCTGACATTAAAGGCATAAGCCATCCTGCTCAGCTTATTCATTCATTCCTTTTTTTTTTTTTTTGTACCCATTAACCATCTCCAACTCCCTGGTGGTCCCCCACTACCATTTCCAGCCTCTGGTAACCATCCTTTTAGTTTCTATTTCCATGAATTCAATTGTTTTGATTTTTAGATCCCACAAATAAGTGACAATGTGTGATGTTTGTATTTCTGTGCCTGGCTTATTTCACTTAACATAATCACCTCCAGTTCCATCCATGTTGCTGCAAATGACAGAATCTCATTCTTTTTAATGGCTGAACAGTACTCCATAGTGTGTAAGCAGCACATTTTCTTTATCCATTCATATGTTGATGGACACTTGGGTTGCTTCCAAATCTTGGCTATTGTGAACAGTGTTGCAACAAACATGGGAGTGCAGATATACCTTTGATACACTGATTTCCTTTCTTTTGGGTATATATCTAGCAGTGAGATTGCTGGATCATATAGTAGCTCTATTTTTTAGTTTTTTGAGGAGCCTCCAAACACTTCTCCAGAGTAGTTGTACTAATTTACATTCCCATAGACAGCATATGAGGGTTCCCTTTTCTCCACATCCTCATCAATATTTATTGCCTATCTTTTGGATAAAAGCCATTTTAACTGGTGTGAGAGATATCTCATTGTAGTTTTGATTTGCATTTCTCTGGTGATCAATGATGTTGAACACCTTTTCCTATGTCTGTTTGACACTTGTGTGTCTTCTTTTGAGAACTGTCCATTCAATTCTTTTGTCCATTTTTGAATTGGATCATTAGATTTTTTTCCTATAGAGTTGTATAAGCTCCTTCTATATTCTAGCTATAAATCTTTTATCAGATGTGTAGTCTGCAAATATTTTGTCCCATTCTGTGGGTTGTCTCTGCACTTTGTTGATTGTTTCCTTCGCTGTGCAGCTTTTTAACTTGATGCAATCCCATCTGTCCACTATTGCTTTGGTTGCCTGGTTGGGGGGTGGTATTACTCAAGAAGTCTTTGCCCAGACCCGTGTCCTGGAGAAGTTCCCCAATGTGTTCTTGTAGGAGTTTCATAATTTGAGGTGTTAGATTTAAGTCTTTAATCCATTTTGATTTGACTGTTGTATAAGGTGAGAGAGAGGGATCAAGTTTTATTTTTCTGCATATAGATGTCTAGTTTTCCCTACATAATTTATTGAAGAGATTGTTTTTCCCCAATGTATGTTCTTGGCATCTTTGTCAAAAATGAATTTGTTACAGGTGTGTAGATTTGTTTCTGGGTTCTCTATCCTGTTCCATTGGTCTGTGTGTCTGTTTTTAGGCCAGTACCATGCTATTTTGGTTACTATAGCTCTGTAGCAGAGTTTGAAGTCAGGTAATGCAATCCCTCCAGTTTTGTTCTTTTTGCTATTCTGGGTCTTTTGGGATTCCATATAAATTTTAGGATTTTTTTTTTACTATTGTTGTGAAAAATGTCATTGGTATTTTGATAGAAATTGCAGTGAATCTGCAGATTGCTTTAGGTAGTATGGACATTTTAATAACATTGATTCTTCCAATCCATGAACATAGAATGTCTTCATTTTTTAATGTCCACTTCAATTTTTTCATCAGTGTTTTATAGTTTTCTTTGTAGACATCTTTCATTTCTTTGGTCAATTCCTGGGTATTTAATTTTATTTGTGGCTATTGTAAATGGGATTACTTTTTTGATTTCTTTTTCAGATTGTTCACTGTTGGCATATAGACATGCTATTGATTTTTGTTTGTTGATTTTCTGTCCCACAACTTTACTGAACTTGTTTATCAGTTCTAATAGTTTTTTGTTGGTCTCTTTAGGTTTTTTGAAATATACAATCATATCCTAAGCAAGCAAGGATAATTTGACTTCTTTTCCAATTTGGATGCTCTATATCTTTCTCTTGTCTGATTGCTCTAGCTAAGACTTCCAGTACTATGTTGAATAACAGTGGTGAAATGGGCATCTTTGTCATGTTCCAGATCTAAGAGGAAAAGCTTTCAGTTTTTCCCCATTCAGTATGATACTCGCTGTGGATCTGTCATATAAGGCTTTTATTATGTTGAGGTATGTTCTTTCTATACCCAGTTTTTTGAGGGTTTTTATCATGAAGGGATGTTGAAGTTTATCAAATGTTGAGGTATGTTCTTTCTATACTAGGGGCTTGGTGTCACTGGAAGACTTTTCATTATTTTATTGTGTTGAATTTATTTTTCACGCACGTATCGCATGTTTTAATTTTATATTTAATACACACTATTTAAAAGAAAAAATAGTATGATAAATATTATATGCCATGAGGCAAGAGAAAAATGGCAGCTCAAAGAAAGCTTATTTAAGCAAGAAAACCTTACAGTAGTGAGCTTTGAATTGAGATTTTAAAGAGAGATTTAGCTGAGTGACAAAGGGATAATGCATGCAGAGAGGGAAGGATAACATGGAGGTAGGAGGAGATATTCACTCTGGGAAACCATCGATAGTTCAAAATCGATGAAGCATAGGGAGTATTCCATTGACTACCTATCTTATAAGCCTCATTTTCCCCCAAGGACAGATTGTGTCAGGGTAAGCAGTTTAAATTTTATTTTGAAGCATGGGGAGCAACTCCAAAGTTCACAAGGAAAGTGTAATATGATATGATTAGCTTTGCATTTCATATATATCATGATGGGACTGTGGACAATTGACTGACAAGGGGCAAGACAGGGAGGAGATACTTGTGCTAGATGACTGCTGCAATAATCTACAGCAGATGCTAATGTGGTGACTGTGAGGATAAAAAGGAGGAAATAGTAAGATATTAAGAAGGTAGAATTAAAAGGACTTAGGTTCTTAGGAACAAAGGAGTATATGAAATTATTTATTACAATTCATTTTTTTGGCTTGAACAACTGAGCAGACAATGGGGCCAGCCCTTCAGTGTCAGGAAACATAAAAATGGCATAGATAAGTTAAGAAAGAAATGCTTAGTTCTGCTGTTGAGGTTGAGGGGCTTGGGGACATTTAATAGATGACAGTGTGGAGGTACAGCTGAATACATATACATGTCTGAAACACAGGAAAATGTTGGAGAAATAGACTTAGTTGTTACAAGAATAAAACTGGTAGTTGAAGTCATGGGACTATTTCAGATCACCACAGGAGGAAGGCTATGGAGGGAACCACAATATATAAAAGGTGGAGTATACGTGGAAAGCCCCAAAGGAAAGCTAAGGAAGTACTCAGAAAGATTTCAGGAGTGAGTAGCCTCACAGAAGCCAATGGATGACAGTTTCAAGAAGCAACACACTCTTTCAGAGAAATCCAGAAAGACAGGAGCTGAAATGTGTCAGTGGTATTGAGAAACTAGAAGATTACATACTATATTAATGTGACAGAATTACCTCGTGCTTGTTTAAAGGTCAGATTTCTGGTCCCTCGGAGCGGAAATTTGTGGGGATGGAAAAAGAATTTATGCATTTTTTTTTAAAGAAGGTTTCCAGTGAATTACACCCTCAGGTCTGAAAACAACTATAGCAAATTGTAAACTCTTCAAGAACAAGTACCTTGTTTGTTTAACTCATCATGTATACTTAGTGTTCACCATAGCATCTGTCACATAATAGACCCTCAACAAATATTCAATAATTTAAAAATGAGATGAATGAATAGATGGAGAGATGAAAAGCTACTGAATGAAAGAACCAAAGAACTAACATCTGCCAAAATCTTGGCAAGATTATTGGAGCTTACATTGTAATGGTACAGGGTAGGTAATACACATGTAAACAGATGAACAAATAAAATAATTTGCAGAGATCTGCTTTAGCTAGGGTAGTCAGGGAAAGCTTCTTTGAGGAGGTAGCATTTGAGTTATCATTTAAATAATGAGAAGGTATTAACCAGTGATAGACTGTGGACAAAACATTTCAGGCAGGGGAAGGTCCTAATGAGAAAAAGGGAGAATAAAGTGTGTTTAAGTAATAAAGAGACCTACGTGGCTACAGCTAAGGGAATGAGACAGAGAATAGGAGAACGGTAGAAGATGAGCCTGAAAAGGTGGATAGGATGCTGATCGTACAGGGTCTCACAAGTTGTGACCTCATAGCTGTTTGGATGTTATTCTAATTGCAACAAGAACCCACTTACATTTTAAACAAAGTAGGGGTATGATATGATTTACACTTTAAAAATACCATTCTGACATCTATATAAATAACGGATCATGGCAGGGCAATGGTGGAAGTAAGCAGACCAGTTAGGGGTTGAGGTAGTATTCCAGACAAGAGGTGATTATGGTATGGTGGTAGTAGTAGAGACAGTGAGAAGTGCTTGGATTTATAATAGAATATATTCGGAAATACAGCAGACAAGATCATGTTAATGAGTTAGATATAGCAGGTGAGGGAAAGAGGAGTCTAAAGAATTTGGATTTTTGCCTGTAGGCAATGAGGACTCACTTAAAGTTTTGACTGAGTGACACAAATACAGTAGAATATATTAGCACAATTATCTTGAGGCAAGAAGCAACAGGAATTCTTTGGGAAATAAAATAGAAGGTAGAGGCAAATCTGGAGGTGTCAGTAATATTCTAGGCCTGAAGTAACACACATCTGAATTAAGGTGATGACAAAGAGAATGGCAAAAAATGATGGATATCAAGGCTACCATCGAGTAAGTAGAGATTGAATTTGTGGTATCTGTGGGCACTGAAGCTTAGCTGATAAATATGGACCAGAAAGACTTGGGAGTCATCAGAATACAGCTAATAGTTAAAGTCAAGTGAGCAACTGAGATTACCTAGAGAAAGTTTCTAGACGGAAAATGGAGCCTAAACTAGGAGTCAGAAAAAGAGTAGGACTATCCAGAATGAAAGGAGAAAAACTAGGAGAGTGTGGTTCCATGAATGTAAGTAGAAACATTTCAAGAAGATGTGTTTGTAACTGGTAAATAAGGACTAAGAAGTATCTATTGTGTTTGGTAAAATGGGTATCGTGAGTGATTTTGGTCAGCACTGTATCCGTTTAGAGGCAGAATGAGAAGACAGATTCCAGGTACTTGAGGCATCTCAGACATGAAGTAGTACTGACAATGAATACAGATAACACTTCTAAATATTTTGGTTTTGAAGCAAAGAAGAAAGAGAGGTAGTCAGAGAAGAACTAGGGTGGAGAAAGGGGGTCTTTAGGATGGGACAATCTGTATTATGTTTTGATATTGATATGAAGGAGACAAAGAGAGCGAGAATAAAGACAGTCGAGGGGGTGGGTTGACTGCAAGATCTCTGAGAAGACAGGTGTGAATGGGATCCAAGCACAGGTAGGGCCTCAGCCATATAAATAGGAAAGAACACTTCTCCCAGTTACAGTAAGCAAGGATAGGTGTAGGTAGAGGGAAATTAGTAGGGGTGGTGCTGGGGTTGGGAGGGAGGCAGGGTGATTTCCTATATCATGGCTTCTATTTCCTCTGTGAAGGAAGATGCATCATCCACTTAAAGTAAGGGGGAAGGTGAAGGGATTTTAAATTTGAGGAGAATGGAGAAGGAATAAAATTACCATTATGGAGAATGGGAGGAAAATAATTCTAGGGAAATACAAGATTGCCAGACCAAGTTGAGGAACTTGCTGAAGAATCATTGAATAAAATGATTTCTGCATTTTGTGTTTAAACATCCTATGATAATACCCAGGTTAACTCATAATCAACATCGTGGTGCTTCTCAAAACCTTACTTGCCTTTTCTACAAAGAATAGCAACACACTTAAAATCTAAACTTATGACTTCAAATTTCGGAAATAGCTCTTTTGGCCAATAACTTTGGCTAATGCCACAGTCTCTCACTTCTGAATTTCTCTTTCATTTCCATAAATTTATACAACATTTTGGTAGAAGCTAAATTTAGTCTGATGGCAGTGAACAGATGTAAACATGATATAATGGAGCTACAGAACAAATCACTGTGAGAAAAGTCCTATCACATAAGCATAGAAAGCAACCATGTTCCATAAATTGACTTAAATAAATGACATCAAATTATCTAGAAACCAAATATAATTTATCACAATTACATAATCATTTCATTTTTCTTTTAATCTTTACTATCTGCCTGGAATATACTAGATGCTTAATAATAATTATTAAGGAATTAACACTATGAAAAAAATAACATTTCGGAGATTTCTAGGCATTTGGTACATATTGATTCATAAACCATAAAATAATCAATTACAAATAACTCCCCAAAAAAGGTAAAACCCATGAAGTTATTGAAAAGTGTAACTGCTAAGAGTTCATATCACAGCAGTGGTATTAACAAAGCCTAGAGACAATACTGATGAATTAAGAGCATGGGACAAGAAAATGATGACTTGTTAAAAGAGATAGGTTCTTTCATAGGAGATTTTCTTTTTTCCATCATCATGGTAGAATATAAATACTCCACATAGTGTAATAATTAAACATTCTAGTTAATGATGCATTGCCAGACTAAACATAACATTTGTTCTAAAACTCTAATAAAATATAGTACATTTAATAGAAAGAGTAAATGAAAACAACTGAATATTTAATGTTTAGAACATGTTTAGGGTTTCACAATGAGAAGTTAAGTAGAGTAATTTGAAATCTTGGGATAACTTTTTTTACTATGCTGCAAGTTAATTTCCTAATTGGTAAAAGAGAAGGGGTTACATTAATCTCTAAAGAAAGTTTCTACTCCTGTTTCTGATGAAAAAGCATGTGATCACAGAAACTATCAGATACTTTAATAGTATAGCACATTTTATATAGAATACGGTGCTCATTTTAATAAAAATAGACTTTCTGACAGACTAATTTCTTCTTAGGTATAACTGTGTCATATCTGGGTTAACAAGTTGGTAATTAATTTTTATAATTTTAAACATTTTCATTTCCATTTGAAGTTTAATTTTTTCATAAATATATTATGAATGTATTTGATTTTTACTAAAATAAAGTAAATTTTTTAATCATTGTATCACAGCATTATTTTGTTTTCTCCTTTAGATGGCTACATTTTGAGATCTAGTATAAATTCTTACCTCTATGAGATAAGGCTCCATTTGATCCAGGGTTTTCCCAAGATGCTTATCAGGATCTAAACCTGCCAAGAAAGGTTACATTTTTTAAAGATAACTATCAGATAGGAACTTTAAAGACACATTCCCCTTCCCTTGGCCCCTCCTCACCTAGAAAAGCAGTGTGTATATATTTTGAATTGCTTTGATCATAAAGTAAAATGTACTTTGCTAGTATTTACTTTTCTATTCCCCTTGGGTAACTGGTTTTATTGCTTCTGAAAAGTAAGTTTCCACTTATTTCAATTGCACTGTGTCAACTACCAGACGCATTGTTTCAATTCCTTTATCCATTTTGAGGAGCAGTAATTAGATAGAAAAAAAGAGTATCATTTCAATTACATGAAATTTTAATTCTTTATATTTTAATGGTTATGATTTATTTTACTGATGGACAACAGCATTAATTTTCTGATTTATCCCTGTTTTATTTAAACTTCAAACTTCTTAGACAATAAGAGTAGAAAATAGCAGTAGACTGTTATGCTTATGTAATTAATTCACTTAACAGTGGCATATGGGCACAAATAATTGCATTATTAAATTAAATGACATTTCATTTCAATGACTCCTTCGCAACACTGTATTTTTCAAGTAAAGATAGAGACAACTCTGAAAAATCATTACTGTGCCAATAGCGTGTGCGTAACCTTTAATAAAGATTCAACTGACATAACAGTAGAGTTTATATAGGTAATGGGGTGTGGGAGACAAGTGTGAGCAATATGAATGCTTTCCATACACCAAGACTAACCAGCTAGGAAAAAAAATCCCATGTCACAAGTGGGCTATGAAATAAATGAATTCATTTTGGATATTTACATTCATATTTACATATATTGGCATAGTTTCATTTACAAAAGTTAATGTAATGAAAGGCAATACTATAGAGCAAAGACAGTTTTGTCAACAAATGGTGTGAAATAACTGGATATCCACATGCAAAAAAATGGATCTAGACACAGACTTTACACTCTTCACAAAATTAACTTAAAACAGATTGTAGACATAAAGGCAAAATGCAAAATTATAAAACTCCTATAACAGGAAAAAAATCTAGATGGTCTTGGGTATGGTGATGACTTCTAAGATACCTCACCAAAAGCACGATCCATTAAGGAAACAATTAATAAGCTGACTTCATTAAAATTAAAAAACCTCTGCTCTGTGAAAGATAATGTAAAGAGAGTAAGAATAAAAGCCACAGACTGGGAGAAAATATGTGCAAAGAACATCTGATAAAGGACTATTATCTAATATATACAAAGAACTCTTAAAACTCAACAATAAGCAAACAACAATCCAATTTAAAAATGGGCAAAAGACCTTAACAGACACCTCGCTAAAGATATATATAAGCATATGAAAAGATCCTCCACATCATATGTCACCAGAGAAATGCAAATAAAACAAGAAGAAGAAACCACTACACACCTATTATAGTGGCCAAAATCTGGAGAACTTACAACACCAAAAGCTGGCAAGGATGTAGAGCAATACTATTGCTGATTGGAATGCAAAATGGTACAGTCACTTTGTAAGACAGTTGGGAGGTTCTTACAAAACTGAACATATTCTTACTATACGATCCAACTGTGGTGTTCCTTGGTGTTTACCCAAGGTATTAAAAACCCTTTTCTGCACAAAAACCTGCACATGGATATTTATAGCAGTTTTATTCATAATTGTCAAAATCTGGAGCACCAAAATGTATTTCAGTAGGTGAACGACTAAGTAAATTGTGTATATCCAGACAATGAAATATTATTCAGTGCTAAAAAGAAAGCAGCTATCAAGCCATGAAAATACATGGAGGAAATGTAAATGTATATTACTAAGTGAAAAAAGCCAATTTGAAAACGCTACATATGGTATGATTCCAACTATATGACATTCTGGAAAAGATAAAACTATGAAGATAGTAGAAAGGCCAGTGATTGCCAGGGGTTTTGGGTAGGGGGCAGACAAGGTTAAATAGGCAGAACACAGATGATTTGTAGGGTAGAAAAATACTCTGCACGATACTATAATGATGAATACATGTTATTATACATCTGTCGAAGCCTGTAGAATGTACATCACCAGCAGTGAACCTTAATGTAAACTATGAACTTTGGGTGATTATGATGTGTCATTGTAAGTTCAACAATTTTAACAAATGTACAACTCTAGCAGGGGAGGTTGATAATGGGGGAGGTCATGCGGTATGGGGTCAGGGTAAATGGAAAATCTCTGTACATTTCTCTTAATTTGCTGTGAACCTACAACTGCTTTAACAAAATAAAATAAAAAAATTTGGTAAAGTTTCCTTGTGGTCTAGAGCATAATCAAATTTCATAAATGCTCCATTTCTGCTCGAATGAAAGTATGTTTTCTATCTGTTGAAAGCAAGATTATGTACCTAAACACATAAAATCATGATCATACTTGTTAATTTTGTTGTTCACATCTTTTATGGCCTTAAAAATTTTTGATCTCCATGAACCATCAGTTTCTAATAATAAGATTAAAAAAACACCCATTATGATTTTGGTTTTAATAATCTCTTCTTACAATTCTGTCATTTTTCCTTAATATATTTGAAAGCTATGTTGTTATATGTGCACAAACTCATAATTTCTAAAACTTCTTGATGGAATTATTCTGCTTATCAAGAAGTAGTGACTATTTCATCTCCATCAGATTTTTATCTTGTAATCTATATGTCTTCTATGAACACTGTGACACCAGCTTTCTTTTGCTAATATCTTTCTTATATATATTTTCCATTATTTGTTCTCAAATTTTTTGTATTGTTTTTGTTTTAGATGCCCACATATAATTGGATTTCTTTTGTTCCACCCAATCTTATAAATATGACTCCAAAGAATTGAGTTTAATCATTTTATATTATATGGCTGGACCTGTTTCTACCATCTGAGTATAAATTTTCTGTACATTAAGCTTTATATATTTTTCTTTTATTTTTTTCTGCCTCATACTGAATTGAAAATTATTTTAATGTTTTACTCTGCTGATCAGAATGCTATAGAGTGAATTTCTACTTTTCGGATAATCATCTGTGATTTTTTACATACATTCAAAACCATATTTTTAAAGTCTTAATGTATTAAGTATCTTTAGCATCCTTTAGACCAGAACTTAGTATGTTTTAACTAGGCACTAAACAGGCTTCATCATTACTATTATTATTGTGTTGAATTTTTGTTCCATTATTTTTAGCAAGAAAAATTAAGGTTATCAACATATTTACAATGTTTATGCTCACTATTGTTTCTCATTCATTTCTCCTTGAATCAATCTATTTCTAACTGAAATTTGTTCTTTATTCTTTCACTGATGATCTGTGAGTGGTATACTCTCCCAGTTTTTATAGGTCTCATAATGTCTCTATGTTACTCTCACAATAGTTTAGTTGCAATATATTACTTTTGGCATTTGTTGTTC
This sequence comes from Homo sapiens, assembly GCF_000001405.40. Classification (NCBI taxonomy): domain Eukaryota; kingdom Metazoa; phylum Chordata; class Mammalia; order Primates; family Hominidae; genus Homo; species Homo sapiens. The sequence continues at coordinate 35,414,318 of NC_000015.10, forward strand.
CTAATGAAAATTATGATGTCAGTATGATAGTGGCTCCCATATAAGGAATCTTTATTTTCTATATGCTAGATTGTACAATTTTCAATGTACCTATGACACAATTTTCAACATACTTAGTACATTTTGCAATCTTAATTCAATATGTCTAGGCACATGTTTATTTTAATTAGTACTGGACAGCACCTAATGCGTACTTTTAATCCAAAAACTCATGTCTTTCTTCAAATCTAGAGCATTTTCAGCTATTACATCTGCTTTTCTGCCTTCTATTTTTTCCTTGAAACACCTATTACACAAATATTTCAATTTCCCAATCTAGCCTCCATGTTTTAATTGCATTTTCTATTTTTTTCCTCTGTCTGTGGCTTTTTCTATTTTTTTCCTCTCTCTATGCCTTCTTGGTGAATTACTTTTTCTCTTTTTTTTCTGCTGCACTCATTCTCTCTTTGACGTGACTAGCATTTATTCTGCCCACTGAAGTTTTTTTTCATGACTATGTTTCATTTCTAAAATTTCTAATTGGTTTTCACATCACTCTGTTACTGTTTCATTCCAGGCAATTTATTTTTCTAATAATCACTTTTTTAAACAAATAGATTTTATATTTTTCTTGATCTCTTTGAGGTTCTCCCTCTTGTAGGGCACTTCCCATTTCTGTTTCCCAACAGGACATGATCTTCCAACTGCTTTTGCCTGCTTCCTGGATCCCTACATTACAGCACACAACTTCAGTCCTGTTCACTACTTTTTGTCTTTTCATTTCTAGCTAACAGAGATGTTTACAATGTTTTCCAGTACAATTACGTTTTTCACATTTTTCCTTCTTATATTCATCTATGACTGCCATGGGTTTGGGAAATATGTTAAAATCCAAAGCATGAATATACAAGGTCAGCATGGCTGGAAGTCACTTTTTAGCCTTCCCTCTAACTGTGTGTGTGTGTGTGTAACAACACATACATATAACACAGTCAGCATTAGGGCATCATTTAAAAAGTCTCCCATGATTGAATTTGAGAATTTGTGTTTTGCATTCTATGTACGAGTCTGGAAGTAAATATATGCAAATATATGCCTATAAGGCATGAAAGGGAATTTAAGAGCATAGAGCTTTACACAGGTAGGCACCATAAGATCTCATTTTTCTTGCAGTCTTTTAATTCGTTGCAGAGTATCAAGCCCCAGTTCAGAATTGTTAAAATATAGAAATAGCAGTTACATCTCATTTCAGAGATGGCTGTATTCCACAGTGGATAAAGTTATTTGGGTTGCCTTTAAATATGAGTCAGTAAATAATGTAAATATAAAACACACTGGGCACACTTTCCACATGAACCTGTGATCTTCACACAGGTATACCTTGGTAAAAATTAGTTGGCCATTTAAACACTTTTCTGTATTCATGAAAGTATTTTCAATTTAGTTATTCTTGGGCTAAGCACTAAAAATTCTATGAAGCTAAAATCATTGAAGTAAATAACATTTAAAACATTAGAGAAAAATTTTCAACCATTTTCCTGAGACATATTAGAGATCATTTCACTACAAAAGGAGATTATTGTAAAACTAGAAAATACCTAAAATATTTAAGAGCCAAATTTCTTTTCTCTCAGAGTTAATAATAAAATAAACTTCATGTGTACCTATAGGTTTGGTAATGGGGTCTGTGTAAAGTTTAGTGAGGGTGTATATGCTGCTATGATTCATGGGCCTGATGTTTTAGACCATGGGTATCCAATCTTTTGGCTCCCCTGGGCCACACTGGAAGAAGAATTGTCTTGGGCCACATATGAAATATACTCACACTAACGATAGCTGATTAGCTGGAAAAAAATCAAAAAAATCTCATAGTGTTAGAGAGTTTACAAATTTGCGTTGGGCCGCATTCAAAGCCGTCCTGGGTCGCAGGTTGAATAAGCTTGTTTTAGACATTTCACACAGGGCAGAACAATAGAATCAACATTTCACATACATGAAAGATGGTTTCAAAGGACATCTAAAACCAAGGAACTAGCAGAATGTAAGAAATAAACAATTTTAAAACATATTTTTCAGAGGTTACGTCAGGTGATTTAGGTAGGTTTTTTTGGCATGAACAATGATTTAGGTGTTCCTATATCATGAGGTGATACTATTTAAACAGACTATAATTCTTTTCCATAAAATGTCCAGGTTTTAGTAATGAAACTACTTGTTTAAATTCAATATAATAGCCTGCAGACTCTTCTGAATGGATTTTTATACTTTAATTCAACACAGCATATAATATTTACTTCTATCAGGCTAACATGTTCCACTGTACTTGATTATAATAACTACATATGTCTTTATCTCCTGATGCCTTGCTGGTTACTTTATCTGAATATCTGAATACTTTATCTGAGCACAGTCTGCCTTTGCTTCAATTTTTCTGTTCATTAGAAAGTGACAAGTCATTGGGGACCTCATGATCACTGTCCATATGCCATGTACTGCAGACTGTTCATAGAATATATTTTCTTGGATAAAATCCAGAGATTCCTAGCAATTCCAGCTACCGTCCTTGCAAAAGCAACGGCCTGAAGCCACCCTGATCTTTGAGATCTCTTCTAAATCATCTGAAACTATTATGCACCGGGTGATATTAGGGATGTTAGGGATGTTGTAGGAAGATTATTCATCCTACTCCAGAATATATTCAGATATAGAAGTTTCCTCAAGAAATTCTTTAATGCTTAGCATACCAATGATTCCATAAATATCAAACTATTAATACATGAAAACAAAACTCATAGTAATTGTTTTTATAAGTATAAAGATTGAATACTTAATTTTCTTGCACTTCCACATATTCCACAAGTTTCCTCATTTACTAACATCTAAGCATTGTATGTACAGCGCTTATAATATTTACTTTCATTTCCCTAAATGGAATAAGGTAATTATTAAAATACTTTTAAAACAAAGATCTGAAAAAACAGATCTTTTTAGTGTGAAAAATTGTTAGCTTATCTATAATTATGAAGCTCTAAGATTTTAGTTTTTTATTTTATGTATTTTGGTTTTAGTATTTTCTAACTAGATGATAACACACAAAGATTTCTGAATGATCCTTCTTAATTGAGAATGGAAGGTCAGGGTCATATTAGCATCAATAAAATATATTTCTCAATAGACTTACTTTAGATTTTTGTTTTAAATGGTTCAGAGAGAAACATTTTAAAAAAAGTCAATGTCTGAGTTAAATTTTAACACAAAAGCTAGACATCACAACATCTCTATTTACTTTACCAACAAGAAGAACCCACTTACGTTTCTAAGCACAACTGAAGAATGATGCTAATATACCAATATATTTGCACTGAAATAATTCTATCCTATAAAATCATTTTAAAGTATATGAATATATAATAATATCTCAGTAAATTTAAAATCCATCTTACATATCCATTCCATTTTCAATTTCTAAGCAGTAGCCATTTAACTGGTAAATGCAGCTGGTCCAAAAGGCACAATTTTCTTTTTCTTTAAATAAACCCTAGTATCTAGACCCAATACAATTTCAGTATGCTTTAAAAATCTCTCTTAATCTTTGTAATATCATCATTCTCATTTTATTTTACATAAAACTGCATTACATTAAAACCTTTGGAGGAGCTATTAAAAGCCTCTGAAAAAGCCACAACAGCTCATGGGCTTTTTCAATGCAATTCAACTTTATCTAAAAGCTTCGATTTACCTCAGTCCTTGGAAAAGATTTTTCTTTTTTAAATTTATTCAATTTAGGTGTCTCTTTTCTAGTAAAGCTTGGGTCGTGAACAGACACAAACTGTGCTTCACCAAAATCCCAGCGGTCAGTACAATTTACCGCTTGAGCCAGTTAATTATGGAATGTGAGTCTTTATGTATATATCTCCCTACAAAAACCTTTATAATCACTGAGACAATTACATTAGTTAATGTTGACATAAATATCAATATCAAGAAATATCAATATTAATGAAGATTATAATCCATAGGATCCATGATGATGTTAAAGTACATTTTAACTCTAATACATGAATATATTACTTTGAGTTACTAACAATATTTTTGCCAAAGTGCAGAAAAAATTTACTGTAAACTCTGACACCTAGCCATTTCATCATGTCATACAGACATTCCTTGATGGAAGCTGGGTGGATGAATAAACTCACAAGACCTAGGCACTGATAACTCCATGCAGAATTAAGAAATTAATTAGGAGGAAGAACCATAATTTGCAGAGCTGACATCTATTTTACTTTACTTGCATGTATCAATGGGAAGCAATTACAATTCAATTAAAATATTCAATTTTATTACTTTACTTACTGACCTTGAAGTTAATGCCTGTTTTATTTAATTGCATCATCTATGAATAAATGTTAACCCTACAATGTTATGCTCCATTATTTTCAATGCATTTTTCAACTTCTCAGCTGAATTATATCAATTTATTATCTATGTCATGAAAGCAAGTGGAGGTTTATCTCTTCAGTACAGCCCAATACATGAAGAGAGAGACATCACAAAATGGTTAACAATGCTATTTTTAAGAGTCAAGTAAAGTGAATTGTGTTCTCATCTCAACCTTTGTAGCCTAGAGTTTTACTGTAAAATCAGTAGGTGATATTAGAAAAGGTATAATCACTCTGAGAAGCAATTTCTAGTCTGTCTATAATTCTTGATAAATCCACTGGATACAAGAACTGAATACCTCATGTACCTTTCAAACTAAAACACACACACATACACACACACACACACACACACACACACTCTTGAAATCTCTTCCTATCTCTACCAGGCTTACTGGCTAACAGAACAAGTAGATACCATTTTTAAAACTCGAATTGTTTTGTGGGTAAATATGATTTTTATTTGTTCCCAGACTCCCACTGAACACACCATTATTCTATAATTATTTTTAGAAATAAAATGACAGAATTTTTATTTAAAAGAACAGATAAGAAGACTGGTCATATAATCTCTAAAAAAATGAGCTTACATATATGAAAGTGACTATCTCAGGAAGGACCTTATTTCAAGTTTTCAGATTTTCCATTTCTACAGTTAGACTTAAATGCTTACAGCTCTTAGAGGTTGTGTTATGAGTTATCTCAACACGTGACTTCTTTGCTTTGAATGTAAATGTTTTAAATTCTCCAATCAAAAATATAGAGAGGCAGAATGGATGAAAAAGTGAGCACCAAACTATATGCTGCCTACAAGAGACTCAGTTCACCTTAAAACACCCTTATAGACTAAAGGAATAATAATAATAAAAAAGATATTCCATGCAAATAGAAACAAAAAGAGCAAAGATAGCTATACTAACCTTAGACAGAATAGGTTTTAGGTCGAAAACTGTAAAAAGGACAATAAAGGTTATAATATAGTGATTAAGAATCCAATTCATCAAGAGGATAAAACAATGGTAAATATATATGCACCCAACATTGCAGCACATAAATACATAAAGCAAACAAGTCTGAAGAGGCATAGACTGCAACACAATAATAGCAGGAAATTCAATACCCCACTATCAACATTGGATAAAACTTCCAGACAGAAAATCAATAAGGAAACATTGGGCTTGAACTACTTTAGGCCAAAGGAACCTAATAGATATTTACAGAACATTCCTTTCGACAGCAACAGAAGAGAAATTCTTCTCAAGTGCACATGAAACATTCTCCAGGAGAGATCATATGTTTGGCCACAAAAAAGTCTTAACACATTTAAGGTTAAAATCATGTCAAGTATCTTTTTCAACCACAATGCTATGAAACTAGGTATCAATAAAAGGAAGAATCATGGAAAATTGAGAAGTGTGTGAAAATTAAACAATATGCTCCTGAAGGAGCATATGACCCTATCTTACTGGGTCAAAGAAGAAATTAAAGGAGAAATTAAAAAACATCTTGAGACAAAAAAAATGCGAACACAATATCCCAAAATTTATGGGATGCAGCAAAAGCAGTTCTAAGAGGGAAGTTTGTAGCAATAAATGCCTACATCAAAAAGGAAGAAGGATCTCAAATAAACAACCTAACATTATAGCTCAAAGGATTAGAAAAAGAAGACAAGCCCAAAGATAGCAGAATAAAGGACATAACAAAGATTAGGGCATAAATAAATAAAATTGAGCCTGGCAAAACAATGCAAAAATCAATAAAACAGAGTTTTATTTTATTTTATTTTAATTATTTTATTTTTTAGACAGTCTCGCTCTGTTGCCCGGGCTGGAGTGCAGTGGCACGACCTCAGCCCACTGCAACCTCCGCCTCCTGGGATCAAGCATTCTCCTGCCTCAGCATCCTGAGTAGCCAGGACTACAGGCATGTGTCACCATGCCTGGCTAATTTTTGTATTTTTTAATAGAGACGGGGTTTCACCGTATTGGCCAGGCTGGTCGCGAACTCCTAACCTTGTGATCTGCCAGCCTCAGCCTCCCAAAGTGCTGGGATTACAGCGTGAGCCACTGTGCCTGGCCTAAAACTGAGCTGTTTTGAAAAGCTAAATAAAAGGGACAAACCCTTAGCTAGACTAAGAAAAACAGGGGCAGGACTCAAATAAATAAAATCAGAAATGGAAGGGGAGACATTATAACCGGTAACACGGAAATACAAAGGATCATAAGACACTACTTATAAACAACTGTATTATTAACAACAGTTAAATACAGTTAAACTGTATTTAACAACAAATTGGGCAATCTAGACAAAATGGATACATTCCTAGAAACCTATAACCTACCAAGACTGAATCACAAAGAAGCTGGAAATCTGAACAGACCAAGAATAACTATTGAGATTGAATCAGTCATTAAAAGTCTCCCATCAAACAAATGCCCAGGATCAGATAACTTCATGGCTGAATTCTACCAAAAATTTAAAGAGCTAATAGCAATGTTTCTCAAACTCTTTCAAGAAAACTAACATTGAAGAAGAGGGAATACTTCTAAACTAATTTTACAAGGCCAGAAATATTCTAAAATCTATGAGCTGATATTTTACTTCTGTGTAACACAAAGTAGACTTAGATATTTTATAGATTCACTTTTAAGATCAATGGCATACATGAAATAAATGATCAATAAAAAATATTAAGTATAGTTATGCAGTTAATGATAATAACTGCTGGTGATAGCTCAAATACCCCTTTTTTGTACATTAAAAATTACTGTAAAGTTTTTGGGGTGTACAGAACAAATAATAAGTGAAAGATGTGTGGAACACAGAGAATTTTTTTAAAAGAAGGGATTTGAAATATTTATTCCTGAAACATTTTCCTAATCTTTCTTATCAGTTTTCAAGATGATGAGTACTGGAAACTGAAAGAAGCTCGAGTAGAGAGTGTCTGAAGGTGGAAGAGTTGAAGCTAAAAATGTAGACAAAAGCCAGGTCCTATATAGCCTTCTGTTTCATTTTAAGGAGTTTATGCTTGAAAGTAAGGTCACAAAGAACACTGAGAAATTCAAACAAAACAATGATATGATCCAATTTGACTTCTGAAAAGATCATTCCAGCTTCAGTCAAGTTCCTTGGTAGAAAATAAGACTGAAGGTAAGAAGGCAAATAAACAAGGTGCTGCAATAGACTAGATGAGAGAGGATGTAATAGACAAAGCATTAGTATAGAAGAGAACAGATTTTAGAGCAGCATATGGTAGGTAAGATATATAATACCGGTGAATTGGATGTGGGGAATACAGGAGACAGAAAAGGGAATAATGAGTCTCAGGTTTTTGGCTTTGAGCAAATTAAAAGATGGTGGCACCAAGTGTTATTCCTTCAAATATATATATATATAAACCAAATAGATGAAGGTTTGGGAAGGACAATAAAGGGTGAATTCAATATTAATTGTGTTAAAATTGACATGTATTTAAGTTTCCCATGAATCATCAGAGAAGAGTTATCTAATTAGATTTTGGTATATAGAAACAGAAGCCATGAAGTGAAATCTCAAGAAGAATAGATGAAATGAGAAGAGAAGATACAGGAAAAAACCTTGAGGAATACCAGATTCTAATGAACTCATAGTAATAATGAAATGTTCAAAATGCAAATCTGGTCTGGTCATTTTCTTTCCCCATTAGCTTTATTGAGATATAGTTGAGAATTAAAAATTGTACATATTTAAGGTGTATAACTTGATGACTTTATATATGCAAACACTGTAAAATATTCACCACAATCAAGCAAATTAACATACCCATCTCCTCACACAGTTACCATTTGTGTGTGTGTTGTGAGAACACTTAAGATCTATCCTCTTAGCAAATTTCAAGTATACAACACAGTGTTGTTAACTATAGACACACTGTTGTACATTAGATCTCCAGAACTTGTTTATCTTGCATAACTAACTCTGTACCCCTTAATCAACATCTTCCCAAATCCTCCTCTCCATCCTCTGGTAACTACCATTCTATTCTTTATTTCTTAAGTTTGACATTTTTAGATCACACATATAAGTGATACGATGCAGTATTTGTCTTTCTGTATCTGGTTTATTTTACATAGTATAAGGTCCTCCAGGTTCATCCGTGTTGTTGAAAATGGTTAGATTTCCTTTTTAAAGGTTGAATAATACTTCATTGTATAAATATACCACATTTTCTTTAGACATTCATCTATTGATATACACTTAGGCTGTTTTCATATCTTAGTGATTGTGAATAATGCTAAAATAAACATGTGAGTGCAGATATCTCTTGGAGATATTGATTTAATTTCCTTTGGGTATATACTCAGAAGTGTGATTGCCGGATCATACAGTAGTTACATTTTAAAAATTTTGAGGAATCTCCATACTGTTTTCCATAATGGCTGTACCAATTTACATTCCCACCAACAGTATACAAGGGTTCCCTTTTCTCCAACACTTATCTTTCACTTTTCTGATACTCATTCTAACAGGTGTGACGTGATACCTCATTGTGGTTTTGATTGGCATTTCCCTGATGATTAGTGAAATTTAGTACTTTTTCTTATACCTGTTTGTCATTTGTATGTCTCATTTGGAGAAATGTCCATTCAAGTCCTTTGCCCTTTTTAAAACAAAGTTATTTGTCTTTTTGCTATGAAGTTGCATGAGTTCCTTATATATTTTAAATGTTAACTCCTTAACATATATAGGATTTGTAAATATTGTTTTTCACTCCCCAGGTTGCCTTTTCACTCTGCTCTTTCCTTTGCTGTGCAGAAGCTTTTTAGTTTGATGCAATCCTATATGTCTATTTTAGCTTTTCTTGCCTGTGTTTTTGGTGTCATATAAAAAAAAATCATTGTCCAGTCCAATGACAAGATTTTTTCCTTTGTTTTCTTCAAGGAGTTTTACATTTTTGGGTCTTGCATTAAAGTTTTAAATCCATTTTGAGTTGAATATGGTGTGAGATAAGGGTTTTAAATCTATTTTGAGTTGTATATGGTGTGAGATAAGGGTCCACTTCTTCCACATGTAGATATGGATAATTTTCCTGGCACCATTTATTGAAAAGACTATCCATTCCCATTGTATGTTTTGGCACCCCTGTGGAAGATCAGTTGACCATAGATGTGTACATTTATTTCTAGGCTCTCTATTCTATTCCATTGGTCTCTATACTTGTTTTTATGCCAGTGCCATTCTGTTTTCATTACCCTAGCTTTATAATATGTTTAGAAATCAGAAACTGATTCCTTTGTTCTTCTTCCTAAAGATTAATTTGGCTACTTGTGGTCTTTTGTGGTTCCATATGAATTTTGGGATTTTTTTTTCTATTTTTATAAAGAATGCCATTGAGAATTTGATAAGGATTACATTGAATCTGTAGATCACTTGGGGTAATATGAACATTTTAACATATTAATTATTTCAATCCAAGAATATGGCTGTATTTCCATTAATGTTTGACTTTTTAAATTTCCTTCAGCAATATTTTACAATTTTCAGTGTGCAAGACTTTCACTTCTTGGTTAAGATTATTCCTAATTATTTTATTCTTCTTGTCGCTATTGTGAATGTGACTGTTTTCTTGATTTCCTTTTCAGATAGTTTGTTATTTGCATATAGAAATGCTACTGATTGTTGTATGCTGATTTTATATTCTGCAACTTTACTGAATTTATGTATTAGTTCTAACAGGATTTTTTTTTTTGTCAAGTCTTTTCAATATGTATGATATTATCTGTAAGTAGAAATAATTTTGCTTTCTTCTTTCTAATTTGAATGTCTTTTATTTCTTTTTCTTGCTTAATTTCTCTGGCTAGGATTTCTAGTACAATGTTTAATATAAGTGGCAAGAGTGGGCATCCTTGCCTTGTACTGTAATCTGATAATTTTCTATTTCAAAATCCTTCAATAATACTTCTGGGCAAGATGGTTATATAAGCACTGGCATCTAATTCTTTCCTTTTCTTCTCTTCCCAATTGAAAACACCACTGAAAAGATTACTGAATAAAGGAGAAGAATATATCAGGACTGAAAAACTGGGAAAGAATACTATGAATATACCTAGGACTTGAACTTAATCCTGCTTGAGTGAAGATGGAATCAAATTAATAGAAAAAGCTGTCCTTTGACTTCTCCAGTACAAGAATAACTTGCTAGAAAAGAAAGTACAGGAAACTTTGGAGAACCCTGATTACAGCCTCCTTCAGACCCTGTGTTGTGAGATAGAATTCCTTATCTGGTTCTCATGTAAAATTAAACTGAATGTGACCTACGTACATTTCTGCAAATGTACTCACATATAGTTGAGACAGCAACCAATACAAGTAGTATTTTCTATAAGACAATTCACTGGAGGACAAGCCCTGCAAATGTTATAACATACCCTTGCTCCAAGAAGTTTTAATACATAAATGTTGGGCTCTCAGCTAAGATAGTATGTCTCACTTTCCAATCATGCCAAGTAAGAAATGGTATTTGTATTAAGGTACAAATATCCTCCTGGACAGTACAGCCATTAAATAATCTGACTACTACATAGAGAAACAGAAAAACACTTGCTGGTTTACCTTTTCAGAAGGAGTTTTTAATTAACTGTTACATATTATCATGAAAGCTATTATAGTGTAAGTTGCCTGACAGAGCCATATGTTTTACTACAGAGGGTTAACTTTCATACTAGCATTCATTAAAATAGAATCTTTTCCTATTTATTTGTAAATATTACAATTAACATATTTTTTAAAGATCAGAAGAAATTGGAGCCATTGGTTGAGATACAGGTAGAAAGACAAATTTTAGAATTACGATATAGTGCATATTTCTTGGCAGGTAATATATATGTATAAAACATACCTATATACATATCTAATGTACATACATATCCATATATAAGATATATATGGAAGTGTGTGTGTATGTGTGTGTGTGTATGGGTGTGTGTGTGTATGGGTGTGTGTACAAAGTAGCTTTGGGATGGATAGACTCAATCTATTCCAAAATTCAAGAAAGACATCCTTTCCATGTATATCATATATATATATATGACATGACATATATATATATATATATATCTCATATATCCATATATATCCTATCCATATAACCAGCACCAAAAAGTTATATGCCTAAGTTACTTTTAGGACAGCCTGCCTTACCCAGTGAAGAAAATGATATGCTAGCAATAAAATAAGCAAAACCAGCATTTCCTTCCCCTGCTGTTATAATCTGTTACTCCCCTTTATAAACTGAGCAAATAGAGACTCTCTTCAGGTGGCTGTGTGACTACTGGTATTTGTATTTGAAACTTAAGGAAAGACTGTATCACACATACAGTACTCGAAATTTGTATTTAACTCTTTTTTTTTCTTAAGTTGAAAATGGTAGATAATTTACAACACATGTTGGGAGTTTTGAAAGTTTCAACTTTCGATGTTTCAATACTTCAGTTATAAAATTCAAAAATTCTCTGCTAAGGTACTTTGCATAAAGGTAGAAATATATTCAAATCACAATTAACTCTACTTGAAAGCACATTAAGTAACCTTTTTTAAACAAAATAATTATTTGAACAAAGTTCAGGTGTAAAAATGTTAACTATAGAATATAAAAGAATAATACAAATTGCTTTTAACCTTTACTGTTCAGCATTCTTTTCTAAGAAGGTTATTGCAATGAATGATTTTAATTATGTCCATTATTAGCCAAATAAATGACAGAAGAACACGATGTGTAGAAGCATTAATTAACATACCTTATCTTGGCTTATTGGGGCAGGTATGAAAGAGGAATAAGATTAATGTAAAATATAGGAATTACCACAGGTTAGTATGTGTAGGAGTAGAACTCAGAAATTGGGAAGGCTGCACAATTCAAGCTCATGTTCTAATTGGTATGGGCATCTCTTAATGTTAACCCAAAAGGTGAGACTTCAAAAAGTATATGTTAAAAATCTGAAGAAAAAATCTGGTTAGCAGCCCTCTGAGAGAAAAGTAAAAAGTTTAAAGAACCATCCAGGTTTCTAGGAAGACATATAAGGACACTGGCCATGAGAGATATATATACTGTGACATTATCTGAAAGGTCAAAAGAGAAATTTGTGGATGGTTTAAAAAAAAAAAAACAACCTTGAAACAATTCCATAGAGACATTTATGAACACGTTGAAAATATCTAAAACATCTTATAACATGACATTTTTCCCCCTGAATTAAATACCAAAAATGTACTGTCAGGGGAAGAAAGAATCTAAAAAAAAAAAAAGATAAAAAAAAAGACAAAAGGAAACACAAGGACTAAATAGACACCATGAGTGGTAGGACTAACGGCTGAGTTTCTCCTCTGGTAATGAGGACAGCAAGTAAAGAGGATGTGAGGTTTAGAGGATGTAAGAAGCAGAGAAGTTTAGTTTAGTTTTATTTTGCATTGACCTCTGCTGTACAGGAGAGTGAGGAAACGACTATTCCAAGGGCACTTTCTGAGAAAAACAGTGGGGTAGTAGTAGAGAGCAATCTCCTAGGAGGAAATAATAGAGCAACTTGAGAAATTCCACAGCAATAAATCACCATGGCCAGATGGTATTCAACTGAGAGTTTCTGAAGGAAATAAAGTGTGAAATGGCTGAGCTACAGATGAGGATATGCAATGTATTTGGAAAACAAGCAAGTATTTCCAAATATTGCGATTTTGCTAATATGAAGCTTTTCTTTCAGAAAGAAAAATAATCGAATTAAGATTTTATGGAATTACAGACCAGAGGCTCTCTTGGTGATAATGGAGAAACTGATAGAGTCTAATTAAGAATAGCTTCCTTCAACATCAGGATAAGGTTAACCTGCTAAGGTCAAATTGCCCACTGAGTCTATAAAGAGAACACTGTTTCTCTCCATCCTATTAAACTTATCTGGAAATGTCAATAAAATACTAGATAGAAGTAAACCAGTAAATGTAATTTATTTGGGAATTACATGAAGCTTTAAACAAGGTCACATGAGAGTATTGGGGAAAATAAATAAGCACAGTCTTTGGAAGGAAAGGCCACAGGAGAAACTTCTGTCATTAACTGTAAAACTTGCTAAGTAATGAAAACAAAGTTTCAGGGACAATTTCTCTTTCTTTTCTTCCCTACAATGGGGTTACCTCTTCCAGAAGCATAGATCACCTTCAAATTAAAAAAAAGAAAAAATACACAAAAAAGGAATTTCACTGCAGACAAGAGGCAGCCTAAGAATATGGAAGGGAAGATGAGCTCCCAAACCAAGAAGGAAAGTAGACCAGGAGGCAATGGCATAATAAGCATGCAGCAAGATTTTTATGTATCAAATAGAATCGGAAAGCCACACGAGTTTAATTTTCTCATCACTGTGTCTGTGTAAGCATCAAATTTTAATGAAAACTAACAAGTGATAAAGTAATAAGACAGTTTTTTTATGTATTTAAATGAGGGCTGTCTCCTTTGAAGTTGTCACCTTTGAATACTATATGCTTATCCAATAGTATATAGCTTATCCAATAGTTTGATGCCCTGGATCAAACTACTTCTAAAAATTTTTCTATAAAACTGTCTTCAGAGCCAGTTGCATATTGTTTTGAAATTATCTAATGGAGGCAAATCTTCATCCTTTAAGGGTGGAGCCAGAAGCCATCAAGGAAGAATGGAATTTCTCTCCAAAAAGCAAACTTAGTCTACAGCTAAAACAGTTCTACACACTCCAATTAACTCTTCTGTCAAAGAAGCAGTATTATACAGGAAAAAAACAAGGGACATGCAGTAGAATCTTGAAGAAATCTACCCATGGGCCTGGGGCAATCTCCTGGGTCACAATTTGGGAGCTCCAAATGTTAGAAAGTTTCTATGCCACACACGCTAAGACCTGTTTCACTGTATAACTTCCACTTGCTCTTTGAATTGTCCTCTGAAGCCAAAGAAAGTACCAGTGGACTTTCAAACATTGTGAATTGCTATAAAAATCCTCATTCTCGTTGGCCCAGTAACCTGCTGCCTTTACTTCAGGCTAAATATATAGCTCCTTTAAATAGCCCTCATATGGTACCACTTGCTTGTCCTTTCATTGTTCTGGTCACTCTCTACTCACCGAATTACATTTGTTTCTGTGTCCCACTTTTATGCAATCTTTCCCTTTTACAAAAAGCAATTTCTGTTAATTGTAGGAAATATAGAAAAACATAAAAAAGAAAATTTAAGTTTTTCATATTATAAAATTTCTGAAGATATGTTGCTAATACATTATCATTTTAGTTTTCAGGATTTTTTCTATGAATGACTTTTGCACAGAATTGAGATCCAATTGTTTACAGAATACTGCCTTTTCCTTAAATTACTACAGCCACAACCTTCTTAAATAAAGGTACCTATAACAAAACACAATGTTCCACATTAACTCTGTTAATAGAACCCCTTAGATCTCCTTAGCTGCTTTGGCAGCCACAATGTACCACAGACACATATTAAGCATACTGTCATAAAACCTCTATGACTTTTCTCTTCAGTGCTATTGTTTAGCAATATCTCTCCCATTTGATTTTACAATGTTGGTTTTAGGGACTGAAATTCAGAACTGTTTATATTTACCTCTATTTTGTTTTACCTCGTCATTTTTAGTCCCTAATTCCAATCATTTAATATGAATCTGAATTCTGATTCTATTATTCAAAGTATTAGCTATTTCAATAACAACTGTGTCACTTGCAAATTTCATCAGCATGCCCTTCAAGTGCTCATTCAAATAGCTGTTTAAAAGAGTGAAAAGTGTTGAATAAAGAAATAATGATATAATACGTCAGTAGGGTCCTTTTCCCATGTTGATACTGACCTACTATCAACTTCATATTAGGTCCATTTGTTTAAGTAATTATGGGTTAATTATTAAGTCATTTGTTTTATCTTACCACCCTTACATACACACATTTTTATAGATATACAGAATATGGTATCTTTCCTAAAGAGATGTGTCTCTGAAAAACTATATAAGGGAATTAAATTACATTTTAAATATCAAACAGAATTCAATATTGAAAGGATATCTGTAATGAAAAAATCTGTTCCTAATATGAATAATATTTTGTTAACGCTGTTTTATCTTAGCTGTTACTTTGGTGTGTAATATTTACGAGTTAGAGTTGCAAAATCAAAACACTGATTGAACAGAAGCTGGATCCTAGAAGATTGTGGATAGAAGACCGAAATCCAGTCTGTGGGGGAAAAGAACAAGAAAAAAATTCATTTGTTAATGTGGATCTGGATCTTGCAGTAAGTTAACCTTGCTAATTTGTTTGTAAAGGCTGAATTTAAAAAGAAATCATCAAAAATGATATTGACCTGTTCAAATATATGTTAAGTGAACCTTAAAGTTTTCCAGTGAAAGTAAATTGAATGAAGGGGAAAAAGGACAGAAGCAGTTTGAAGTCATGTGAATGCTAATGAAGGAGGGACACAGAAATAATAATTGCACACTATCAGCAGCATTTTCTTTTCCTGACTGGAGTTTATTATTTGTTAATGCATTCATTGCTACTCAGTTTATAAAGTACCTATGGTTATTTACCTGAAAGATAAATAGGCAACTTGTACTTTAACTTTTTTTTTGCCACTTGATATGTTAAACAACCTTCATACTGAAAAAAAAAAAAAATGCAATTATTGAAGCACAGCTGAATGGCCCCAGAGCACACAGGCTCCATTAAATTTGCTTACATCTAATGACTCCTGCCCAAGGCAGGTGAGAAATTTATTCTGATAAGATCTTTTCTTTATCCTGTAGCCAAAAAAAAAAAATGAAATAAAACCAGTGATTTTTAATCTAATCATGATCTAAAACTATTTGTGGTATTTGTTCTTTAAGACCCTATAAAGCTGGGCTTTGTGCAATAACCATTATAATTATGTTTTCAACTGCTTAATACAAACATTTCTTTCCAGAAAAATTAGTGTAAGTCATCATCAATGTCAACTATAAATGCATTTCCTGTAATTTTCAAGTTAAATGTTTTAAGGTCAGTTAAAAAAATTATTATTTAGAAATTGTGACACTGCTCCAGTTTCCTAAAACCCATAGCTGTATCTTATCTGAAATATCTTTAATGTGACAATGCAAATAAAAATGTGAAATTACAAGTACAGTATAGGAAGCCAAAAGACCCAAGATTTACCCAGTTTAGACAGTGGCTTTTATGAGCCTGTCAAAAACAAAAACAAAAACAAAACCTCCTACTTCCAGTTCCATTGAAAACCATAGACTTTATTTTTCTTGCCTATATTCCATCTGTTGTGTGAAAAACTCTCAATAATTTTTAAAGGTGGAGAAAAGAAAGAGAGGTAACTGAATTTATGTTGCAGCACAGTTATATAACACCCAAGATTCTTCTTTGTCAAACAGAAAAAGCGGCAAACGAAGGATATGAAAAAAGCTTAACCAATGAATTCACTTGTTCACATACGTCAAAAGTCATTCATAATTACCCCTATACCTATCTAGCAGTAATAATGTGTGTAATATGTTAAACTGTTCAAGAAACTTTTGTACCTATGGCCCCATTTTAGTAGTAAATCTTTAGGATAAGTAGTAAAACAATGGTTTTACTGATAAAAGGGAGGTTATGAAAATGGAGGCTCTGGGGTGAAGTGAATTCTCCAGGTTGCAAGGTTAACGAGTGATTAAATCAGGAAAAAAAATGTACAGATTTTGACTTTGAGTCCAGTACTCTTTCCTGAAAATCAAGTTAAGCCATAATCAAATAAAGAAGTGCTCCTTAAGCTAAGGCACATAAACAGCAGGGTGCCAGAGGCTATAAAGACCCAAATTAACTAGGTATACTTTCCTGGAACAACAATTTTGTTACAAGAATTAGAGAAAAAAATCCATAAGAAAGGAATCCATAAGAAAGAAATATAATGGGGACAAGCATGTTGATGTTAGACATAAATTGAAAAGTCTAAGGAGAAATGACAGTTAATTATCATAAAAAGCAGAGAGTAGTCCTAAATCTTGGCTCCCCTTAGAACCAATCACTTGGCAAAGTTTTTTTTTTTGGAGATGGAGTCTCGCTCTGTCGCCCAGGCTGGAGTGCAGTGGCGCAATCTCGGCTCACTGCAAGCTCCGCATCCCAGGTTCACACCATTCTCCTGCCTCAGCCTCTGGAGTAGCGGGGACTACAGGCGCCGGCCACAACACCCAGCTAATTTCACTTGGCAAACTTTTGACAAATACCAATCAATACTTACTATGACTCATCCCAGAATAACCAAGTCCAACTATGTGGGATTGGGGCTGCATATAATAAATATGTATTCAAAGGCTCCTCAGGAGATTCTAATGTGCAGCCATGGTAGAGAACCACTGATGTAATGCTATAAAGGTGGATGAAGAAAATATGGATAAGAGTCTTCCAGATAAACATAAAGCGTAGAGGTATATGAAATTAGAGGAATATAAAAGAAGAAAAAAATCTATATGATGTTTAAAATGGGTAAAAATGTGAACTATTTCATGGAAGAGTACATTATTGCTTTACACTCCTGAAAGAGGTGCTAGTCTTCCTCTTTGGTAGTGTTTGCTGCAGTGGGTTTTCTGTCATCATTCACTATCCTCCTGGATACGTTTTTTAGATTCACATCTGTAATAGAGTTCTTAGCCATGCACAGTTCCTACCAGAAATTAACCCAATGAGCACAACCAGAAAAAGAAAGAAGAGCTTTATTATGGCAGTTGGGATGACAGAAATATCAAACTGAAAGCATTTCCTACATCCCAGGGAGGGCAGAAACAGGTATATTCATAGAAAACAGAATTATCAACAACAAAAAAATACACACATAAGACAAACAAAGAAGTTTTCAGGCAAATTACTTACAAAAGGGGAAAACTCAAATTATCCATCAATGTGTTAGCTTTCTTATGTTAACACAAAAGAAAGATAATTGGGGCTGAGAGGAAGAAATGAAAATATATACAATTCTTGAGAAAGGTACTGAAGACATATTCCACCTGAATGAATTAAGAAGAAAATAAAGGGTTCAATAGGAAAGTCATATTGAGTACACATGGACACAAAGAGGGGAACAATAGAAACTGAGGCCTACTTGAGGGTGGAGGTTAGGAGGACGGTGAGGGTCAAAAAACTGTCAGGTACTGAGCTCACTATCTGGGCGTAAATGACTAATGACTAAATCATTTAAACACCAAACCCAAGTGACATGAAATTTACCCATGTAACAAACCTGCACATGTACCCACTAAACCTAAAATAAAAGTTGAAAAAAAAGAATAGGGAAGTTGTGACATAGTGGTAAATGCCAAAACCCAGTCACATATATAATTGTGTCAAAGAAGTTTTGCAAATCAAAGTATTAAATACAAATGTCAAATTCATTGTTTAAAGAGAAGCAATATATATAACTAATAGTATTTAACTGTAAAGTCAGTAATAATATGGGTTCAAACTTCACAAATCAGAAAAGGTAGAAAAATGGATTGGAAAAATTAAAGGATGATAGCAATTGATATACACACCAACAAGTATAGGCAAGGATACAAACTTGCTTTCGTTTGTTAGAATAAACAAAAACTTAACTTTATGAAGATAGCTTTTCAAAGCAGGAGAAGTAGTGGCATTCTCTTAGCAGAAAGCCAAGACTCCAGGCCTTAAAATTCCCTTGAAGACATCTGGCTAATAATGAAACTGCAGAGTTATAGTAAAAATCCCGTTGAGTCTCTCTACACTGGGGTTGGCAAGTATGTTCCATAAAAGGTAAATATTTTAGGTTTTGTAGGCAAAATTGGTTCTTTCACAATTACTAAATTCTTCCATTGTAGCATGAAAACAGCCATAGACAATAATAAATATACATGTTGTGTTCCTATAAAACTCTATTTCCATATATAGGCAGTGAATCAGATTTCACCCTAGTTTAATGACTTCTGCACTAGATCAGTAGTTCTCTTCCTTGGATTCATATTAAAATCAATTAATATTGAAGCTCTAAAAAACTGCATGTATCTGGGTCCCATCCCCAGATATTCTAATTTAATTAGTCTGGAGTGCAGTTTGGTCACTGGGATGTTTAAAAGCTCAACAGGCTACAATGATGTGCAGCCACAGTTGAAAACCATTGTTCTAAGAACTTGATTTGGGCCCTTAATATATGTGTCTGTGGAAGAGAAAAGAGAAGGGAGGTAGAGATATCTTTATGTGGTTGTGACATTCCCAAATGTACTGTACAAGGCTGCCCTCTACAATATATAAATCAACTGTCAGGGTACCAAAGCATCTTGCCGTGAAAATGTTTATATCCATCTCTACTATCAGCTTATAAACTAGTACAAATCAGACTCAAAACAGCAGATACATTTCTGAAAAAAATACAGCAGGCCAGTTTGAGTCAAAGGTCAGTCGTTTCTATCTCTGGGAGGTAAGGATACCTAATACGACTAGGTCTCTGGTCCACTTATAGGCCTAGTCTCTTCAATTCCTTATATTGATTAGGAAGTGATAAAAAGGGACTATTACAACTTTGATGTTGATATTTTAAAAATCATAATTTAAAGAACACCTTTGAAAAGATTAAAGCTAATTATTAATAGAATGCATTACTGCCAAAACAACAGAGGGCACTAAAATATTCCATATAGCAAAAGGTAGAAAATAAAGGGAAAAGCAGTAAAACAAAAAATTGATGACATAAAATGAATAAAATAAGTAGAAAAATTAAGAAATAATTAATTGATTATATCAGTAAAAACAGTTAAACTTTTTAAGACAAAGATTGGGTCAATAATAAAATCCAATGTTACGCCAATTATAAAATGCATCTAAAAGTATATGCACGCACACACACATAGAAAAGTGAAAATGAAAGAACAGGCAACAATGTATCAGGCAAATGTAAAGAAAGGTTGCAGTGGTCCTATCATTAACATCAAAACAAAATTCAAAGCAATAAAGATGAAAAAATATATAATTAAGAAACATAAATTACTACTAAGGCTTTTTTTGTTTGTTTGTTTTGTTTTCTTTTTGAGACAGAGTCTCACTCTTGTCGCCCAGGCTGGAGTGCAGTGGCATGACCTCAGCTCACTGCAACCTCCGGCTCCCAGGCTCAAGTGATCCTCCAACTGCAGCCTCCCAGATAGCTGGGACTACAGGTATATGCCACCATGCCCAGCTATTTTTTTTTTTTTTTGTACAGACAGGGTTTCACCATGTTGCCCAAGCTGATCTTGAATTCCTAAGCTCAAGCCATTTGCCCACCTGAGCCTCCCAAAGAACTGGAATTACAGGTGTGAGCCACTATGCCTGGTCACTAATGAGTTTTGGTGAGTTAAGTAATACTGTATTGTTAGAAATAAAGTAAAAAACTTCCTTCCCCAGTAGAATGGTCGATTATCTACACGACCCTTCCACAAAAATACACCTGGGTGCTGCATAACATTAAATCAAGTTTAGTCTAAAGCTGCCTCCTTACATATTTTAAGTTTGACCTAAAGGTATCTCTGTACATCGTGAAATACAACAAGTAGAGGTGTAAACACACCATAGCCTACACGTGACAATTACTGAGTTTTGGACAATCAAATGTAGACAACTGTTCGAATGGCTTCAAAAAAGGCAAACATTGAGCAGTAATTGATAGATGCAGGAGGCAGAAAAGGGAACCTGCACAGGGTTTTGCCTGGGCATGCCTGCAACAGACTGGGGGTCTGCATGAGCACTGGGAGAATGGGGTAAAGCCACCAGGAATTCATGCCTTATGCAGGGGGAGGAGTCAGGCCTCTTCAGCTCATGTGTGGTGGCCTGGTATTCAATCTGTGATGTGGGTGCATGTTGGCAGGACCCCCTCTTTCTTTTCTGAGAGCATTCTTTTTGCCTAATAAATCTGTCCTCCTCACCCTTCCATGTGTCTGTATGCCTAATTTTTCTTGGTTGTGAGACAAGAACCCAGATTTTTAGCTGAAGGAGCAAAAAATCTTGCATCATTTTGGTGGTCCATACGGGCATATGAGGAGGGGTGAGTAAAATGTGGACCAAAAAATCTCTTTTCCTTTTGTTTCTGAGCCTTCTTGTCCTTGGACTTCTTCTGAGGGTAGAGGAAACTGTGGTCCCTTCTTCGCTCTCGGGGTTTGGGAATGTCAGCCTTGGTCCAAACCAGCCTTTTCTATGGCATTTTCCTTCTTTTTTTTGGGACCGTAATGGCACCTATCTTTTCTTTTACTATAGCAGTCATCCACCTCCACCCCAATGGCTGTAGGTGCACATATGGCCATAGCTGCTGCCCTGGCCCCAGGGCAGTCTCAGGGGCCAGAGGCCCTGCACGTCCAGCTGAGCAGCATACCTCGCGACACCTCCATGGAGTCCCCTCATTCCCTGGCCGAGGGGTCTAGCTCAGTCCGACAGCAATTGAAAGCTTCTTTCCTGCTGGGCGCGGTGGCTCATGCCTGTAATCCCAGCACTTTGGGAGGCCAAGGCAGGCGGATCACGAGGTCAGGAGATCAAGACCATCTTGGCTAACATGGTGAAACCCCGTCTCTACTAAAAATACAAAAAATTAGCTGGGCGTGGTGGTGGGCGCCTGTACTCCCAGCTACTCGGGAGGCTGAGGCAGGAGAATGGCGTGAACCAGGGAGGCGGAGCTTGCAATGAGCCGAGATGGCGCCACTGCGCTCCAGCCTGGGAGACAGAGTGAGACTCCGTCTCAAACAAAACAAACAAAAACAAAACAAAACAAAACAAAACAAAACAAAACAAAAAAGGTTCTCTCCCTGTTCGTCACTGCACTCCAGCCTGGGTGACAGAAAGAGACTCCATCTCATAAAAGAAAAAGTTTCTCTCCTGTTGGAGAAATCCATTTGCATAAGAATAAGAGGTTTCTTGCTCAGGCACCTTTTTCTTTCCTCCACCCTGTCAGCAGTGAATACAGCTTTGCATTTAAGTTTTTTTTGTTTTTCTCCATCCTGTCTCAGTTAAGACAGCCCTGCCTTTAAGTTTTTTTTTTTTTCTTTTCTCCACCAGGTCAGGAGTTAAGTTTTATGCAAGAGGCTTTTTTTTCTCCCCCTTTTAGAGGACATTTTACTAGGCCAGGACACCCTTTTCTCTCCCTTGTTGGAGGACTCAATTCCACAGCTTCTCCTTAGCATTTGGCTTATGATAAGGAGTCCATGCAACCCCCGAGACACATTTTTGTCCCAAACTCAATTCCAAGTTTTGGAGCTCGAAGGCTACTAACAGCAGGGGAGACAGGGTGTACGTGGGTAACAGCAGATAATCCCACTCCCTAGGCACCCATGTTTACATGGGTGAAAGCCACTTTGACGCCCATGGTGGCACCCTGTCACAGTTGCTGGGCCTCAGGGATACTCAGACGAAAGAAAGAGGGATGCCTCACTTTCTCTCCCTCACATATCCACGGTATTCACTAGGAAGAAAATGGAACCAGGAACGCCTCGCTCCCCTCTTTCTAGATGAGTAGCCATTCATCTTCATTGTGAACCTCTTTTGAATGCACCCTGAGTCCTGGGGCTCCTTTGAAAAAAATGTCTTCTTTTTCCTTTTTCCTCCTCTGTCCTTTCTTCACAGATGAGTAATTGGGTCCCCCTACAGGACAGTCCTCTTGGATGTATGCTCCAAACTGGGAGAAGTTAATTTCCCAAACCTTAAACTGGTTGGCTTGGGACTGAGCTTGGAGGAAGGGAACCCCGGAGCCTGACATGCAGGCAAAAGAGTAAACTTTTTTCTTACCAGTTGGGCTTTTGGCCTCCCTCTCCTGGTGCAAACCGGTAAAGGGAATGGTAAGGATCACTGTTTATATTTTCTGTAAAGTTTTAATTATGAAAAAGGATTTGTGAGGCTGGTCTTAAGCTATAGCCAAACTGGTGTGCTCTGCATGTCACTCTGCATGGTTCTGTCAGAAAGAGGGGTACCTTAGGATGAGATACAGGCCTAGTACTCCACAGGCCTGTTGTTCAACCCAGGCCAGCAAACCAGTCAGTGGCAAACTTTGCTGCAGGCCTCTATCTTGTTTTATGTCCTTGGAAGCATGACCTGTAACCATGTGGCAGTGCTTTGTTCTAGCCTCTGCCATTTTACAATGGCAGCCTAGGTTCAGTCCTGGCTTAGGGAATGAGTTCTTTCTGGTTTGATATTTGCATGACCTTTACCATTTGTTGATTCTCTTCCCCTCCACAAATCACCTTGAATTTTCCTTCCTCTGAGTCCCTGGGAGGTTACCTTGGTAAAATTTGAAAGCCAAAATACTGGCCACTTGGCATGGTTAAAGTTGGATAATAAGGGATTTAAATGGATTTTCATAAACAGCGCTGAGCTAAATTAAAAATGGATACCCAAGTCATAGGTATATTTAAAGACCTTTATATTTTTCTCTTCTTGTATCTCGTTTTTCTGGAAAAAGTTTTTTTCTCAGTTGACTAAATTCTTTTCTCCATTTTGTCTTGCCACCCTTAATACACACATGAGAGGCCCTAAGATCATTTCTTTTCTTTCTTTTTTTGAGATGGAGTCTCTCTCTTTCGTCCAGGCTGGAGTGCAGTGGTGCGATCTCAGCTTACTGCAACCTCCATGTCCCTGGTTCAAGCGATGGCCTGTGATTACTTGGGAAAAACAGAAAAGGTGCCAAGGATTCCATTTTGGGAGAAGCCTCCGTTTTCCTCGTGGAGCCCCAGGAATTAGAGGCGGATGAATCTTTCTCAAAATTTGTTTTTGTCTTCCAGCTTTACCTGTTTATTAGGTCCTAGAAACTGCATGCTTTCCTAGCCCTACTCTTAAAGGGCCCCATTTGGAGGCCAATAGCCCAGTTAGGAGATTGGCAAACAGAATATCCTATAACTATTGGATCTGCTTCTGTTTGTCTGTGTGGTTATATATATGTTGTGTGTGATGTCTACAAAAAGAGAGCTCTTATTAATTGGCCTAAAGGAAAATAAGCACCTAGATCAAATATCTTTTAAAGGGAAGATAAAAAGTGTGGTGCCCCTTTTAGTTCATGTGACTTTAGTCTTTGAGAAACGGAAACAGCCTTGGAGATTACTGGTAAAATGCAAATGCCATCAAAATGTAATTTTTTACCTGGGTTTATAGGATTATTTTAAATTAGGTAAAATAAAGCCAAAGGTTTAAACAAGTTGTGGAAGGTTTCTAAAAATTAATCTTGCAAAAGAAATTCTGTGTGTGAACACTGACTAGATTCAAAAGGGTATTATATGGTTTTTCTGTAAATTGAGCATTGAAATAAAAGCACAACAAAGTTTTCCTAAGGTACTAATCTGCTTTTTAGCAAAATTTATAAAGAGTTATAAAAGGTTTATGACGATCTCACCTCACGGTCAAACTGGTTAAGACTGGATAGAATTGTCTTTAAGATTTCATTAGAAAATTAGGGTTGATATTAATAGCTGAAATGTTGATGAATATCAAACAGAACACGAGTTAATGGAATGGACCGAACTAATGAAAAACTGAGTAAGCTTTTTAAACTTTTCTTTAAAACACTGCTGATACTTATTTTGTTTTCAGAGTCAAGGCAACTTATTTTGAGCTATTTATAGCCTTTAATAGAGTGGGGTATACTCCTGTGAACAAAATTTGGAGCATATTTGTTTCTCTCTGCCTGGCTTCTCTAGTATTTGGACACTGTCAGCATTCTTAACTTATGACAATATGGTTATTTGCATCAGTGCAATAAGAATCCATTTTCTCTTGCAACAGGATGCAATCGGAGAAACTGGTTGTTTTATCAAGGCTTTGACTGGAAGGGTATGCTTCCTTTTAAGGAATCAAGCTCAACTTGCAGATCCAATAAAAACCGCTTGGGAAAACTGTCTATAGTAGATACCCTGTCTACATAGTCCCTGTACAAAGTTCCTAACCTGTGGTGAGTAAAGAATGTCACTTGCTAACAGGTCCAGGAGCCCATGTTCTTGGGACCTCAAGAAGAGAGGAGTTCACCCAACTCATAGTCATTAAAGTGTACAAACCCATGGCAGGGCTTGGCTTTAAAAAAGGAAAAAAAAAAAAGTCCTATCTGAGATTCCTTGTAGAATAGAGTTCCATCAAATCCAATTTAAAAAGCCCATGTAGAAATAATTATTCTTTGCTCCACATTACGCAAATAATCAAGCCAAGTATGAGACTAAAGTTATTTTGCAAACAACTCAATCCTATTATGCTTTGTTTTTAACAAAAATGAGGACTGGAGAGAAATTATGTTTCAAAACTTACATATTTATCATTAAATTCCAGACTGATTAGTTGTTTTTTAAGTTCTTGCCTACATTTTAGGCTTACACTGCTTATTCCTGTGAACCAACCAGCAATCTCTGGCTGCAGCTCAGAAGGAACAAAAGGGATGGGTAATGTAAAAATCTGGTTCAATATTTTAATTCTGAGCAATTATCCTGAAAATCCTGCCAGGTGATGGGAGTAAATAAGGTGCCCATAACCTGGAGGTTTCCTTTTTGGGAAAATAAGACAAAGAGGGCTAACCAAAGCCAAGCCCCATGCACCCAAATCTTAGCAACCCTGACTATAGTCACCAGTTATCTAGGCATGTCAACAGCCTTGGGATTTAAAAACTGTCCTTACCCACCCCTTTTTGTTTCGTTTTGACATGTTTTCTAATAACCAGGTTTGTCTCCTCTTGCCTTCAGGCCATCGAACTCCAAACAGTCATGCAACTGGAGCCTCAAACAATGGCCCCCTTTAAGCGGGGAACCTTAAATAGGCCTCTGAGGGAGATCTGATTCTGTCTTCCCAAAACAGTACCCCCTCTGTCAGCAGTATGCAGTAAAGATCAGTCTTTATCCTTATCCCTATCCTTATCCTAATGGCAGTTATATGTCCTTCTTTAGAAGGGGGAATGATAGAGGCAGGAGGCAGATAAGGGAACCCGCACAGGGTCTTGCCTGGGCATGCCTGCAACAGACTGGGGGTCTGCATGATCACTGGGAGAATGGGGAGGAGCCACCAGGAATATGTGCCTTATGCACCAAAAGCAATGGCAACAAAAGCCAACATTGACAAATGGGATCTAATTAAACTAAAGAGCTTCTGCACAGCAAAAGAAACTATCATGAGAGTGAACAGGCAACCTACAGACTGGGAGAAAATTTTTGCAATCTATCCATCTGACAAAGGACAAATATCCAGAATCTACAAGGAACTTAAACAAATTTACAAGAAAAAACAAACAACCCAATCAAAAAGTGGGTGAAGGATATGAACAGACACTTCTCAAAAGAAGACATTTATGCAGCCAACAAACATATATATGAAAAAAAGCTCATCATCACTGGTCATTAGAGAAATGCAAATCAAAACCACAATGAGATACCATCTCATGCCAGTTAGAATGGTGATCTTTAAAAAGTCAGCAATCAACAGTTGCTGGAGAGGATGTGGAGAAATAAGAATGCTTTTACACTGTTGGTGGGAGTGTAAATTAGTTCAACCATGGTGGAAGACAATGTGGCAATTCCTCAAGGATCTAGAACCAGAAATACCATTTGACCCAGCAATCCCATTACTAGGTATATACCCAAAGGCTTATAAATCATTCTACTATAAAGACACATGCACATGTATGTTTACTGCAGCACTATTCACAGTAACAAAGACTTGGAATCAATCCTAATGTCCATCAAAGATAGACTGGATAAAGAAAATGTGGCACATATACAGCATGGAGTACTATGCAGCCATAAAAAAGGATGAGTTCGTCGCCTTTGCAGGGACATGGATGAAGCTGGAAACCATCATTCTCAGCAAACTAACACAGCAACAGAAAATCAAATACCACATGTTCTCACTCGTAAGTGGGAGTTGAACAATGAGAACACTTGGATACAGGGAGGGGAACATCACACACCAGGCCCTGCTGGCGGGTGGGGGGTTAGGGGAGGGATAGCATTAGGAGAAATATCTAATGTAGATGATGGGTTGATGGGTGCAGCAAACCACCATGGTACATGTATACCTATTTAATAAACCTGCATGTTCTGCACGTGTATCCCAGAACTTAAAGTATAATAAAAAAAATGATGAGCTCATATATGTATGTGTGTGTGTATACATATATATACAAACACAGTGGGAGAAGGACAGAACCAGGAAATCACATATCTAAATGTAAGAGCTAAAAGTATAAAACTCTTAGAAGAAAACATAGGAGTAAATCTCGTGACATCAAGTTAGGCAATGATTTCTTAGAAATAACATCAAAAGAACATGTAATCAAAACAAAAAAATGATAAATTGGACTACGTCAAAACTAAAAATGTTTATGCTTCAAAGGACACCACCCAGAAGTAAAGAGAAAACCCACAAAATGGGAGAAAATATTTAAAATCACACATTTGATAAGAGACTTATACTCAGAATATATATTAAAGAAAACCTACAATGCACTAAAGACAAATAATTAAAATATAGGCAAAGGATTTTAATTGACATTTCTCTAAAGAAGATATACAAAGGGCCAATAAATGCATGAGAAGATGGTCAACATCATTAGCCATTAGAGAAATGCAAAATAAAACCACAATGAGATAAGACTTTACATTCACCATGATAGCTATAAGAAAGACAGAAAATAATTAACTGTTGGCTAGGATGTGAAAACCTGGAACCCTCATTCATTGCTAGTGGGAATGTAAAGTGGTACAGCCACTTTAGAAATCAGTTTGGTGGTTGCTCAAAACGTTAAACATAGAATTATCATATGACACAGAAATTCCACTCCTAGGTATATACCCAAGAGAAATGAATATATAGGTCCAAAGAAAAACTTGTACACAAA
This sequence comes from Homo sapiens, assembly GCF_000001405.40. Classification (NCBI taxonomy): domain Eukaryota; kingdom Metazoa; phylum Chordata; class Mammalia; order Primates; family Hominidae; genus Homo; species Homo sapiens. Next base: position 35,442,578 of record NC_000015.10, read on the forward strand.
TGTTCATAGGAGCATTATTCATAATAAAGAAAAAATGGAAATGACTCAAATGTCCATGGACTGATGAATGGCTAAATAAACGTATCTTTGTAACAGAATATTATATGGCAACAAAAAGAACTCAATTATATATGCTATAATTTGGATGATTCTTGAAAACATTATTCTAAGTGAAAGAAGCCAGTCACAGTGACCACATATTGTAGGATTCCAATTATATGAGATATCCAGAATAGGCAAATCTATAAAGATATGAAGACACAAAGTCCTCATGGTGCTTAAAGCTGGGAGCAGTGGGGCAGGGGTTGGAGGCAACTTGAGAATGATTACTAACGAGCATGAGATTCCTTTTTGGGGAACACAAATTCTAAAACTAGACTGTGGTGATGATTGCACAACCTGTGAATACACTAAAAAAATTGAATTGTACATTTTAAGTGGGTGACATGCATAGTGTATTAATTACATTTCCATAAAACTTAAAACATAAGGAATGTGTAGTCATAGTAGCTATATGCTCAGACAATACAGATAAAAAGATCTCTTAAAAATGAGAGGGGAAATTCATAAAAGCACATACAAAAAATTCTTTTTAACTGTTCTCAGAAATTATATCATCAGTAGTGGCATTAGCATTGTTATTCTGAAATTGTCTCATATATTGTTACCATTTTAATATAATATCTATATCTATTGGTATGCTGAGTCCCAACAAGAGTTCTCTGGAGCAGAACACATTATTATTTTTATTACTTACAAAGAATAAGTAAATAATACTGTTCTGACTTTTCTCTGCCCCAGCTCTTACTCCAGGAGCAAGGTGATGAGAAAGAGATATAATCTTGCAAGTAATTTCATCTACCACAGGCAAGGGGTCTGGAAAAATAAATCTGAGTACTGATTTAGGAAAAAAGAGGCAGCTGTTGTCCCTTCCCTTCTGAGAGTTTCCTTGGAAAAGTAAAGGGAAGGATATGTGCTTTCACACTTTGGAATGTAAATAAATCTTCCTGAGGGGAAAAACTAGTGTCTCCAGCTTTACTACCCAAGAAATGTCTCCAAGGTCCTGGTCTCAACCCTTCCTTTGAAATGTAAACAGATACCTCTAGAAAGGTAAGTCTCTCTGGAGTTTTCACTTAACTGTTCAGTCATAAATTAAGTTCTAAAGCTCATCTTTTAGCCTAGGTCCCAAGTTTCTGTAAAATTTGCTCAGAAGGTCCTAACTGTGCAGAAACATAAGGATATGTTCTCTACAGCCCCACATACAATGTGATATTTATTTTATAGTGTAATACAAAATAAATATGAAGTTGAGTTAAACCAAGATAACAGCTTGTCAAATCAGACTCAAACAAATTGGACACCTTACCCAGTTTCAACCTTTTCTGATAATTTCAAGAAGAGAAGTAATCAGGCAGCCTAACAAATAAGGTAGAGTTCCAAGACCATCAGAACAGCTCTCCAGGTCCTTCACTGCTATACTCTGGCCCAGATTGGCACATGAGGTCAACTAGAATCACAATACCATTCTCTGTTTCTTCCCAACAAAAACAACCTTTTTAAATGCACATTCATAGTCACAGTGACTAGGTTAGTGACTAGAGATTATTGTTCAATAAATTCGGGATTCCATTTGGCTTGAGGATATAATTATACATAGCATAGTATAGGTTTTAAAAGTTATTGGCTTCCAGATGTCATTATGCAACAAGCTCCCTTCAGGATAACATAATGTCATTCCTTTATCCTTCCAATTCTAATCAGTGTAGCATGAGAAAGACAAATTCCCTTTTTATCTGTGATACTTCGGCCATTGGAGAACAAATATAAAGGCCACACTGTTCAGCAATGTCCCATAATTTAGGCTAACCATAGTGTTTCCATAAGTGGGCATCCTTAGCTTGGCTACTAGAACTGCTGGTCATTGATCTTTAAAAACAACAACTTCCATAGCAATTGGAATATTCAAGAGTCTTTCTTCAATATTAGCTTGGCTACTAGAACTGCTGGCAATGAATCTTTAAAAACAACAACTTCCATAGCAATTGGAATATTTAAAAGTCTTTCCTACATAAGAGTATAAGCCCTCTTCTTGCACTGTTGACCAATATGATGTTCCATTAAATACTCTATGAGTCCAGTCATTTAAAGCTTTCTTGTCCCTCTAGGGCCATTTCCAGATGCAGCCAGTCTCCTGGAAGAGAGCTCCCTCTAGTGTCTCTATTTGGATTAGCAAATCCTTTTCATCACGAGCTTTCAGGAACATTATTTTGGTCTGATTTGGTATGATATTAGTAATGGTCCTCAAGACCATTACTAAAAATGCCTTCAGAATATCAAGACAGCAGAGACAATACTCATCAAGCAACAACATGGGTTATTACTGTGGTACATTAGTAAAATTTGTACAATTTAGAAAAATAGTTTGCACACATACAAAAAAGTATCATGAGATTGTCATTTGGTATATTATGTATCAAATACAGCTCTCTCTGGGTGTGTCATAGGCTTTTCACAAACATACTCTGCATAACTCCAGAGAGGAGTTGTTAGTAACATTTATTCATTACATTACATCCAAATCCATCTCCCTCAAGGTGGTCTTCCAATTCCCTTAAATGAATTCCATTCACATTCACATATTCTACATTAGAAGGAAATCAAGCTGTAACAGGCAGTAGAAATCTGCTCTCCATTATACCTAGGTAGATGTCTTAGCAACATATTGTCTTGATTTATGTCCACAAGGAGTGCAAAAGTCCTACTGTTCCGAATCCTCCATCTGTGTACTTTAATTAGTAATAGTCAAATCATCATCATCAAAAAAAAAAAAAAAAAAGAGATCTGAATGGTAAATAGTTGACCCTTGAACATCATGAATATGAACTGCCTGGATCCACTTATATATGGATTTTTTTTTCAATACGTATATTTGGAGAGATGTGTGACAATTTGAAAAAACTCAACATATGAACCATGTAGCCTAGAAATACTGAAAAAATTAAGAGAAAGGTATGTCATGCATGCATGAAATACATGTAGCTGTTCATGTATTTTATCATTTACTACCATAAAATATATACAAATCTATTATAAAAGGTTGAAATTTATCAAAACACGCACATATCATTCACAGGTGAGAGAAAGGTAAACAAAGATGCAGCATTAAATCATAACTGCATAAAATTCACTATTATTATCTATTGTTACTACTGTATTAATTTTGTAGCCAACTTACATTGCCACTGCGGTGAGCTCAAGTGTTGCTAGTGTCTGCTTAAAATACTATGTGATGCTAATCATCTCTGCATGAGCAGAGCAGTTTCTGTCTCCAGTAAATTGTGTATCACAGTAAAAAGTGATCTCTAGTGGTTCTTGCATATATTTCATTGTGTTTAGCGTAAATACTGTAAACCTCGAGTAACAACATGGGACCCATACGAACTGCCACTAGTGATGCTGGATGTGTTCTCAAGACGCAGAGAAAAGTCATGACATTATAAGAAAAAGTTGATGTTCTGTAGATCAAGATCTGCAGCTGTGGTTGCCTGCAATTTCAGACAATGATTCATTTTGTAAACAGATGACATAAATTTACAGTATTGATAAATACAGTACAGTACTATAAGTGTATTTTCCCTTTTTTTTTTTTTCCTTTTTTTTTTTTTTTTTTCTGAGACAGGGTCTTGCTCTTCACCCAGGTTGGAGTGCAGAGGTGCAAAGACAGCTCACTGAGGCCTTGACTTCCCAGGCTCAAGTGATTTTCCCGCCTCAGCCTCCCAAGTAGCTGGGATTACAGGCACACACCACCATGCCCAGCTAATTTTTAAACTTTTTATAGGCATAGGTCTCCCTATGTTGCCCAGGCTGGTCTCACTCCTGATTCAAGCGATCTTGGGCTCCTAAAGTCCTGGGAATACAGGCATGAGCCACTGTACCTGGCCTCTCTTCCTTATAATTGTCTTAGTAACATTTTCTTTTCTCCAGCTTATTTTATTGTAAGAATATAGTATGTAATACATACAACATGCAAAATGTGTTAATGGACTGTTATGTTTTTGGTAAGGCTTCTGGTCAACAGCAGGCTATTAGTAGTTAAATTTTTGGGGTGTCAAAAGTTTTACGTGGCTTTTTAACTGTGCAGGGGGTTGGTGCTCCTAACCACCTTGTAGTTCAAGGGACAACTGGATAGCCTATAAACCAAGAAATGAGTTGTAACTGTAGTGAACTGCTCCTACATTGAGTCATCAAGGGGCACTCTGCCATTTTATTCCTCTAGATTACATAGGTGGAATCTTTTTTTTTTTTTCCTGAGACGGAGTCTTGCTCTGTCGCCCAGGCTGGAGTGCAGTGGCGTGATCTCGGCTCATTGCAACCTCTGCCTCCTGGGTTCATGCCATTCTCCTGCCTCAGCCTCCTGAGTAGCTAGGACTACAGGCGTCCACCACCACGCATGGCTAATTTTTTTGTATTTTCAGTAGAGATGGGGTTTCACCGTGTTAGACACAATGGTCTCGATCTCCTGACCTCGTGATCCGCCCGCCTCGGCCTCCCAAAGTGCTGGGATTACAGGCCATAGGTGGAATCTTTAAGTAGAGCTATACATCACCAATTTCCCTTCTCTCCAGAAAACACATCCAGAGTGTTCTCTCAACATCAGTTAGGTGAGCATCAAATTTGAGAGAGATATCCAAGACAACAACTCAACTTTAGCAAGAATGGAGTAGCTTGGTATTTACCACGGAGAGATACCAAATACCTTATTATTTTCTAGCTCTGAGGCTCTGCCATGGAAGGTCACATGGTTACAGCTCTCCACAGAACTTGAATTCACTTATAATGCCTTTCTATCTCTTATACGTCCCCCCCCGCCATTTCCATCTATTACCTGTTTTGACCCACACCCTTTTCCCCATGATTGGGCTAACTGGCTCAACGGTTGTATTATAAACCCACAGGGACAGTAAAACAGCAGCCTTGTTAGCACTTCTCCTTGGCAGATATTACAGGATTTGACAGATAAGAATCACAAGACACTTGGCTTGTGTTTATGGATAGGCCTTAATTTGCCTACACAGAGTGAAGTTATCCATACCCCTAAAGGCCTTTAAGAATATGCACTGTCAATGTAATGTATTGATATTGTGTTTTGTGCATTGACAACACTTTCCTTTGGTATGTGCAACTTTAAACTCGAGCCTAGGACCATTGGATCAGGCAAAACTAACAAAAAAAAAATCTACGAAATGGGAAAGATATATAGTTGTGTACTTGCCTCCTCCCCCATCATCTCATTCCTATATCGCAATCCTAGAAAGCTTATAAGTAGAGTCCTAGCATTATTTCCTTTCATAGTCAATGTTACTACACCATCATTTAACTGAACAAACTAACCCTTAAACCAGTATAGTTTTTCTAGTGATCAATTTAGTTACTTTGCAAACAAATATATCTTTCAAGAAACAGGAGGTTTTCCAGTAATAGGTAAAAGTGGTCTCACGTTTTTCCTTTATCATTTCTCTCTCTTTTTTAGCAACTAGATATATCCTGCTAAAAGCAGTCCAAAGATACTCTTCCCCTCTAGTAAATACCATTAGTGATTTTTTGTTTCTTTGTTTGTTTTTTGCCATGAGGTCTATAATTATATGTTTATAGAAAGATTATAGAAGTTCTTTCTTCTTTCTTTCCAGGAAGCCTACCCCAGTTACTGGAAAGAATGGATAATAGATCTGCTATTTGGTCTTTTTGTTCCCAAAAATTATGGGATTTTCTAATAAATAATATCTCTTGTGACCTTGATAATCAAGATTCACTGTGGAAGAAAGAGTGCAGTGATGGAATACAGAATTATGATAATCCTTATGTTGTCTTGAATTTGATTGTGAAATATCATGAACTCATGAGTCATTAGATATACACATACAGACATATATCATTTCACATTCAAAGAAATCAGGGCTTCCTGAAAAAAAGGATGTTCTAGGTCTGGGATAGAAAATGTGTAAGATGACCACTTCGTGGCAGCACTGTTTATCACAGTGCCAAACTGGATACTACCTATATGTCATCAATAATAGAATGGACAATTAAATTGTGGTGTTAATTAAATTTAATTAAATTACAGTCTCCCACAAGGGAACACTATACTACAATAAAAATAAACACACTATTGCTTCAGTCAATAATATGGATGAGTCCCTTAAAACATTATAATGAAACAAAGAAGCCAGAAATTTTATGAGTTCATTGATGCCTATAAGACATAAAGGTTACATACCATAATTATAAAAAATATATTTGTATGCATTCATGTAGAACTGACCTTTTTCTATTATAAGACCATTTCATAGAAAAATGGTCCACAAAATTTTACTGATCCCTCTCCCCCACAGAAAGGTCTTATTGTCTCATTTTTTTTTTTTTTGCTTAAATCCAAAAAAAGTCCCTTTTTTTTGGCTTAAATCCATTTAAAATTGTTCTGATAATTTTAAATGGGAGGAAAAAGGCTTAGCAACCTATATTGCATCATTTATATGTTTCTATGTCTTCAGAAGTACTGTGCCATTTAATAAACCTTTCTTTAATATTATTCTAAAGAATAACTTTCATCTTTGCACACCTATAGGCAGTCAGCACACAGGCAGTGCTGTAAATGTTAAAATCAGATCTATATTTTTGTTACTGAGATGCCAAAGACAAATCAGCTCAGTTTTTACATTTTACCCAAAGGCTTGATAAAGCTAATTCCCCATCTCTAATCCCTACAGAGAGGCACAGATAGAAATGAAAGAACACACAATATCGGTTATATACTATTAAAAGATGGCAATAAGGTCAAATTCTTTGACTATCTTTTCAATAAGGGAGGTCTCTCTGGGTCCTAATCCAGTCTTTTATCTATCGGGCAGTAAAAGGAATAGTATGTGTACCTTTCAGTGAGACGTCACGTGAACTTCATTATGGAATTATGTAATCTTAGAAAATTCAAAGAGAGAGTGAGAGACAAAGAAAAAGCAAGAGGGAATACTCTGTACAGAGTCACATAGAAATTCATATGACAAATATAATAACGTTAATCATGAGAGCTGCTCAGCAACCTTTTCTCAGAAATAAAAACATAATATCACTCAATCTTTCTTGTTTTAACAGCTAAGGAGATCAACTACAGATTCACTAAATAAAGGCTTCAACTGAAGACAACACCTCAACTTCAGCAAGAATACAGTAGCTTGGTATTTACCATGGAGAAATATTATGGGGTCTGTACTATTTCTCTTAATTTTATTTAAAAACTGAATGTATCTGTAAAATCTTCTACAGCTTGAGACCTTGTTATTTCAGAGATCTGCAAGGTAAACACTTTCAAATGAGGTACATGATTTAGGCTTTGGGAACTCTCAGGTTTCAGGGCATTTTCTATAACAGGTTCACGAAATGAACAGACTGGGCTCAAACCCTACGGTTTCTCAAAAATGAATATAATTATAGAAATTCCAAATAAATTAAATGTGCTCATATGTAATGTCCATACTTGAATCAGATTACCACCTGCCTGCTGTGTCTATGCTAACTAATCAGATAACTTTTTCTCAAACATGATTTTCTCACCATCCCCAACAAAAACCAGTACCCTATTTATTTTTTATAACAAAAACAAAACCATCATTCTATTTTAGCATTATTCAAAATATGCTAAAAAATACAAGGAAAATGTTTTGTGTCAAATACATATTATAAAAAGCTTCCAAAAAACCTCAAAACAAAACAAAAATAACCCTTGTATTTCCTGTTTCCTACAAGCCTAAATTCCAAACCCTAAAAAAAAAAGAACTTAAAATGAAGGACTATAATACAATATCAGTTTTAGAACCTGTTATATGTTAAAAAAAAAAAAAAAAGCCTTACTAGTAATCACTTCGGCAAATGGTCAAAAGACCACTTTAAAACTTCCTTTTCTTTATGCAAGGAAGGTGCTTACTCAATTTCTTCAGCTGTGACTCCACATTTTTATATTCTAAATCAGTTTTCTTTGTTCATTTTAACTACTTATTAGTGAACTGAGATCATCTATGTGGCAACAAACAGCTCCCTTGATAGTTTGGCTGCATACCCAAAGCTGCTACTTTGATGATCATTGCTTGAATGTTAGATGATATCATCTCTCTGAGCAAATCTTCCTGGTTTCTCTGCCAAAGATAAGCTAAAGGCTGGAGATTAAGCCTTTTACACCTACAAAAGAAAAAGAAAAAGAAAGTCAGATGATCTCTTAATGTTTTATACTTGGATCCACAGCAATTACTTTGATTTGAAACATAATGCTTCGTTCAAGGATTTTAGCATTGAAAATGCTTTTAAAAACATATTTTGCATAATGTTTATATATACAACATAAACATATTTAATTTCCATGGGTTATGCATAAACTGATAAAAATGAAATTTCCAGGCACACTAGAAATATTAATTTTAGTAAGACTCTTAGTTTAGAAATCTATGTAAAAGAATTTACAAATGCCAGTATACTCTCATTTTTAAAACTTTCATGGGTATCAAAATTTTGAAGCATATGTAAAGTGGGCCAATAATTTATCCTAATAAAATAGCCACATATTTATTAAATTAACAATAGCTACAGTTATGTGAACTATTCTTATCTACTAACTTTGAATTTTTTTTTAAGAATTTGAATAAAAAGAAAATAGTAAGAAAAAAAGTACAATGCTGCAGGCACTGTACTAGATATTTTCCATTATTGGTAAAGTAGAAAAAATATAGGTTTTGGAGTGAAGACACATCTGAATTTAAAACCTCATTTTGTACTCTAGCTGCATGGCTTTTGAAGTCAAGTAAAATCTAAGTCCTTGTGCTTAGTTTCCTAGTTCATAAATAGGGGCAAAAATAGTTCCTTTCAAAGTTCTTAAGAGGATTAAAAAATGTGAAATGAAATCATCCTTTCCTTTTCTTCGCATTCCACATCCAATCTACCACAATGCAGAATGTGATCATTCCTCACTAACACCACTGCTAACAACCTCGTTTGAGCCACCATTCTCTCTCATGTCAACATCCTAATTTCCTTCCCTGCTTCCACCCTCACCCTTTTAAAATCCATTTTCAACACAGCAGCCAATGTGATCCTTTTAAGACATAAAATAGGACAGGCGCGGTGACTCACGACTGTAATGCCAGCACTTTGGGAGGCCAAGGCGGGTGGATCACGAGGTCAGGAAATCGAGACCATCCTGGCTAACACGGTGAAACCCCGTCTCTACTAAAAATACAAAAAATTAGCCAGGCATGGTGGCGGGCGCCTGTGGTCCCAGCTACTCGGGAGGCTGAGGCAGGAGAATGGCGTGAACCTGGGAGGCGGAGCTTGCCGTAAGCCGAGATTGCGCCGCTGCACTCCAGCCTGGGCGACAGAGCGAGACTCTGTCTCAAAAAACAAACAAACAAAAAAAGAAGACATAAAATAGATCATAGGATTCCTCTGCTCAAAACCCTCCAGTGGCTCCCCATCACTCCATGGATCTCACCCTGTTTAGTTCCTGCACTTTATTTCCTACTACTTATTCTCTTCTCACTCCATCCTACCACTCACTGCTGCCTGCTCATTCTTGCCTATTACACTAGTTTCGTGCCTTTGCTTAAATGTCACTTTCTCAGAGAGGACTATAATTGTTTAATGAATTAAAGGTAATATAGATAATGTAGTACAATGCCTGGATAAAACAGGTATTCAATAAATGATAGTCAAAGCCAAGTGACTTGCCCAAGTCATACACTAACTGGCTGAGATCAGATTTCAAACCAAGAATATAGCTCTAAAACCCAGTGTCTATAAGGTTTATAAGTAAAACCCAGCGTCCCTAGCATCTGTAAGGCTGCTTGGCCGACTTCTCTGGCCTATATTGATCTCTCTCTCTCTCTCTCTCTCTCTCAGAGATCCCAATACTTATTAAATGTACCATGTTTGGTCATTTATTCATACATGGCCTTAAAAATATCACTATTTTTTTCATTTACATATACCCTGACTTTCAAAAAACCAAAACCTTCCTCATTGCAGAGATTGTTGCGTGTAATTTTCCCTTTTAAAATGTCTCAGAACATCTAAAGCAATGCTGAAGCAGTTAATAAATACAAAAAGAATAAAATGTGAACTACCCATGTAATACAAACATAATTGCAGAATGTAAAGTGTTTAATAGATGTCACAAGTTCAAATTCAGCAGTGATTTACAGAGTAAGTTTATTTGAGCCATGATATTTTGAACTGTTAAAGAACTTAAATAGGTTAAAAAATTTTACTTAAGTCTATAGTCAAGAGATTTTGAGGAATTTCAAAGCAACAACCACGAATTTTACGATAAGGACAGGAAGAAAAAACTTTTTGTCCATAAAAAAATAAATCTTAGTTTAAAAAGGTAGAGAGGCTGTTTTGATTAGTAGGCATTAAACACTGGGTGAGAGGACAGCAAGAACTAGTAATAATACAACACAAACTAAAATTTGGGCATAGGCTAATTCAAAATTGAGTTTGTGGACCAATGGACTCCCAGTAACATTACTTTTGAAGTTTCAAGGATAAAATAATTGCAGATATGCTTTATAATATAACGTCTGTTCATCTGTTCAACCGTGTGTTGAAGTGTACCAGTGATTGTGTTTTGAGAAAGTCTCTACCCATGGGCATGACATGTGCCCTTCTTCCATATATATATACACATATATGTAATGGGCAGCCTCCTAATCAGGAGCACATTTTTATTTGGCTTTTTAACTTTCATAAATAGATGTCATCCCTATCTCCAGTTTGGCTACCCATTAAAGCCTGTGGGTTTGAACTTCTTAAAAAACACTAATTTTTAAACTAAATAATTCTCAGAGAATATGATCTAAAACTTGATGACAATACTATTATTTCTAATGTCTGGCTTAAGGGATATGCAATTCATCTCCATCTGCAGATCAGTTGTTCTCAACGGTAGATCTACATCTAGGTAGAATGTAAGGAAAAGTTTCTCAAAATACACATGACCTCCTTCCCCACTCCATCATCATCATCCATCGTCCAGAGATTCTGATACACCTCTAAAATGTAAGATCATATTTCTCTTCACTTAACTATGCTTTACCTTGTTTTCCCTTCATTCACTCTTAAAATTCTGTATTTTTTTTAACTGCCCTAAATCCACCATGGAATTAGAGAGAAAATAAATAAAATAAAAATGAAACAAGTGTTCAAATCTATTAATATGTAGGTTTTAAATGAGATAGTAAATAGGAATGTTTCTTTATCAAGAATATAAAAATATTATATAAATACAGCCATTATCTTATTCTATTTATCCTTTTGACTAGCAAAATCACTTATTTGTAGGTCAAATTGTGCTTAAGAAAAATAATGCAGTCCAATTTTTTTTGTTAATATAATTATGCCCAGAATCTCTATAAAATATTATATTTATCTAGATAAATTAAAAATGAAAAGTAAATTCATTCAGGTGGTGTCTTGCCAGGCCAACATTAAATAACCAATATTATCATTTAACCTCATGATTTTTGAATAGATCAATAGAATTGACCGTTTTGGTATGTGCAGTTACAGACTAAATGCTTCACTAGTGCTCCCTCCCTTAGGGGAGTAGAGACGGGCTAGGACGAGGGGAGGAACATCCTAAAAATTCCCTGAAAGTTGAATGGCTTTATATGTAAGCATTTCAATCATATAAATATTTTTAGACAAGAACTGAATTATATGAACCAAAGAGGAGAGGACTCCTTAGTAAACATTTTTTCTTTAAAATATTACTGTATTCCTTTTATTATCTCTTGATTTTTATTACAAATGATGAGTTAAAAGAGATTAACAGGATATACTAAATCAAATAAGAAAAAAGTGAAGAGAATACTTCTCACTAAAAAATCTGTCTCAATTCTATTATAGATTATTTTTCCTTACACTAAATAAGTTAAGTTTCCTCATGTGAGATATAAGGATAGAAAAAAGGAAAAGCATGACTTTTGTTACTTAGGTAAATACACACATTTAGTTCCATGGAGCACGTAGACTACCATACCTATTTATAATTTGAATATGATTATTATTTTTCACTTATTCACATTCTTAAAACACATACACTTTTAAAACTAACAAATTAATGTTTTCTTACACATTTTCCACTCGAATACGCTGATAGTCAGAAAGTATAGCACCTACTGATATCCCCTCTACTTCTTCTTTTTCCTGAAAATAAAGAAAAAAACCATAACTTTAAAAATAAAGTAACAAATGGCTCCACATCATGCTCTGAAAATTATAAATGAACTGTGTCTCATCTAGAAAACTACCTCAAACCAGAGTAATTTACTGAAAATATAATCGACATTCAGAAAAAATTTGCATATATTTAAATCATTCTCTCAGCTGTGAGAAAAATAATTATGGTTTTACTTAAAATTTAAATAACTGAGATCCCTTTCCATGGAGAAAGCAAAGACTTAGGCAGCACTTCCAAAATGTTTCACACTTAACGTATTTTTAAAGACTCACTGATGTTCGATGGAAACTTTTGAGAAATTTCTATTTAAGGACAGTATTTTCCCAGATTGAGTAACTTCTTTTAAAAATTAAGCAATGGCATAAATAGATAAGGGAGCACAATAATTTTTCTGTAAATCTTAGAAAAAAAATGATTGAAATAGGAGTATCCAGAAAGCAGAGATGGTAGAGGCATTGCCTGGATAACAGTATAGCACTGTAGATAAAGAATTCTGTCATGGGAAGGAAGCAATGAATTATTATCAACATAGTTGCAACTGAGAGCATCCAGCAGTATATACAGCATGGTCCCACAGGAATGACAACTATCCTGTCTAGCATACTCATTAATGAGCTGGAGGAGAATGTAAATTCAAGTATGATCAAGTTTGCAGAGGATACAAAGCTAGAATGGATTAAAAAGAAAACAAAACAAGATCAATCAAGTACATGGATGGATTATGGACAACATGGGGATTTGAAATGACAGGTCCAAGGTGAGATTTAATGTAAAGAGTATAAGATAATACACTTAGGGAAGAATAATACACAATATGGGTGTAAACTAGGGAACTGTTATCTAGAAAACAGATATGAAGAAAGTGACTAGGGGGTGATTACTAATAACAAACTGAATAGAAATTCTCTGAATAGGTGTAAAAGAAATCCATCCTAGCCTGTGGATGTACAAAAGAAACTACTTCAGAGAGATCGCTTCATCATGAATACTCTGGTCTTACCAAACTTGGACAACTAGAAAGAAAAACAAAAGTGTTTCACATCAAACAAAAGTTAATATTTCAAGTCATACTGAAATAACCCTGTGTACCTAAAAGGATGCCATAATAAATAAACAAAAATGCAAAAAAGGAATTTTTTATGTCTTTAAAGTCGATTTAAAATTTGCCCTCCAAAATGATGGAGAAATACCTGCCCAAATCACCCCAAAATAAAACGATTATTTTTATCAGATAAGGTGTCAGGAAAAGAGCTATTTCCTTTACTTTCCTATTTCAGCAACTTTGTGAGAACATTTGCTTATAACCTTTCCCTAACCTTCCTAGCCATTTTTGTTTTCATGAAAGTCTTTGTATTCATTAGAAAAAGTCATGACATAGAGTTCCTTATTAAATGTAAATACAGTATAGATCAGAGTTGCTGAATAATGTTATCAAAATTTTAGTTATATTCCTATATCATATAGATGTTTATCTGAAGTTCTGCTATAAAAATAATGAAGTACTAAATATTATAGATGTATAGGAGTGTGTGTATTTCTCTAGAGATCATGGAAACAAAGACAAAAGCCACTGTTGTTTTCTTCCTTAACTAAGTCAAATTACTATATATATATATATATTTATTTATTTATTTATTATTATTTTTTTTTTGAGATGGAGTCTTGCTCTGCCACCCAGGCTGGAGTGCAGTGGCACGATCTCAGCTCACTGCAACCTCCGCCTCCAGGGTTCAAGCGATTCTTCTGCCTCAGCCTCCCGACTAGCTGGGACTACAGGTGTGTGCCACCACGCCCAGCTAAGTTTTGTATTTTTAGTAGAGACGGGGTTTCACCATATTGGCCAGGCTGGTCTCGAACTCCTGACCTGGTGATCCACCTGCCTCGGCCTCCCAAAGTGCTGGGATTACAGGCGTGAGCCACTGTGCCTGGCTGTCAAATTACTATTAAAATAATAATTGGAATTTATTATCCATTTGCCATTCACTAGTGTGCTATGATTTTTAGTTAATGCTCATCACAACCCTAAAACAATTTCTTCTTTGTATACATGCATTCTCTGGAATTATCTTCTACTCCCATCTATTTCATTTTATTTCATGTATTTTTAATTTTTATTTATTTACTTATTTAGAGACAGAGTCTCACTCCCTCTGCTGCCCAGGCTGGAGTGCAGTGGGGTGATCTCAGCTCCAGGGTTCAAGCGATTCTTCTGCCTCAGCCTCCAGAGTAACTGGGACTACAGACGTGTACCACCATGCCCAGCTATTTTTTTCTATTTTTAGTAGAGATGGGGTTTCACTGTGTTGCCCAGGCTGGTCTCGAACTCCTGGACTCAACTGATCTGCCCGCCTTGGCCTCCCAAAGTGCTGGGATGACAAGCTTGAGCCATCGTGCCTGGCCCCATTTATTTTATTTTTTGTTTGATAACACTTAACTAATCAGCACTAAGTAAACTCTGACTATTCTTCAACACTGAGCCTATATACAGACCATCAGTTGTATTTGTTCAATAATTTTTTTTTGAGGCCTCCTGGGTTCAAGTGATTCTTGTGCCTCAGCCTCCTGAGGAGCTGGGATTACAGGCATGTGTTGTGTCAGGAAGCCCAGCTAATTTTTGTATTTTAGTAGAGACAAGATTTTGCCATGTTGCCCAGGCTGGTCTTGAACTCCTGACCTTAAGTGATTTGCCTGCCTTGGCCTCCCAAATTGCTGGGATTACAGGTGTGAGCCACCACACCTGGCCCAATAACTGTAATTACTACTGCCTGGTAGAAATCCAGCCCTGTTACTAGCTCTGTGATTTTGAATGTTACTGAATTTCTCTGTGTCTGTTTCCTCACCTATAAAGTGAAGACAAAAAATATCAATTCCTATTTTCCAAGGTTACTATGGAGATTGAATAAAATAATTCAGGCAAATAACACAGTATCCAGCACCTGGTAAGCATTCAGCAAATATTTTCTTCTTTCATTATTATGATCTTTACTATTCCTATTACTTCTATAACTACCTGTGTTACTACTTCTACTATTACTACTACTGACTACTACTACAGTCATCTCTCATTATCAGTGGGGGATTGTTTCCAGAAATCCCCCTCAAATCAAAATCCACAGATTCTCAAGTCCATTAATATAAGATAGTATAGTATTTGCATATAACCAATGCATATCCTTGCATAAACTTTAGTCTCCAGATTACTTATAATACCCAAATACAAGGTAAATGCTATGTAAATAGCTGCCATACTGTATTTTTAAAATTTGTATTTTTATTTTTGTATTCTTATTTTTTATTGGTTCTTCCTCATAATATTTTTTATCTACAGTGGGTTGAATCCGTGGATGTGAATCCGTGGATACAGAGGGCTGACCGTACTGCTACTACTGGATAAAAACCTAACTCTTTCATTTTGATGGACAAAGCCCTTCACTCATGGGTTTTAACACTCTTTCTCATTATGACTTCTCAAGACTAGCCTACTAACCCTTGACACGCAACTCTAGGTAGAGTTGCAACACAGTTTTCCAGCACAGTGAGACCTGAATAATCCAGGGATAAGAATGACTTCTGCTGATTCCTTAATCATTTTGAACGCAACTACAAATAAAGGGCAAAATAGATATTTAAAAGATAAAGATCTACCACATAGTCAATCTACGCCTTAGAAAAGACATAGCTAGGTTCGGGTCCTGATCCCTGACCCATATCATTTGGGAGAAAAAGTCAGTAAATAAACAATAGCAATGGAAGTGTCAGCAGAGAAAAAAAGAGAATGGCTACTACCATAAAAGATGTACTGAGACAGCATAAAGACAGCCAAATGAATCACCTTGTGTCATAGCTGAAATAAAACCAAGTATGCTACAGGAAATTAGTAATATAGACTCTGGGACCCTATCCCTACAAATTTTTTAAACCAACTCAACTGAGGTATAATCATGTACAATCAACTGCATACAGTTAAAATACATAATGCAATCCTTTTGGATCAAAACCAGTGAAACTGGTACTGTAATCAAGATAGACATCATTTCAGTTATTCCCAAACAGTTCCCGTGCCCCTTGCAGCCCAATTCTCCCTTCAAACCTGGAGAGAGATAAGGAGAGAACCTAAAGAATGGGACCAATGTTTCTACCTTAAATGACTATTAACTGAGAAAGAAAATATATACATGTTTTAAAAGAAAATACTCTGTTTATTTAGTTTTGCATATGTTGTATTCAATTTGTTTGCTAGGTATCTTTGTGTGGCTCATACTGTCACAACAAAATACCATGTAGACTGGGTTGCTTAAACAACAGAAATTTACTTTCTCACAGTTATGGAGGCCAGAAGTCTAAGCTCAAGATGCCAGCATGAATTCTCTGGGACTCTCTTAAGGCTTCTCTTCCTGCCTTGTAGATGATCGTCATCTTGCTGTGTCTTCACATGGTTCCAGGGGTGGCAGGGAGAAAGTGCAAACTCCTTTCTGGTGTCTTTTCTTACAAGGATACTAATTCTATCATGAGGGCCTCACTTTCATAACCTCATCTAAACCTAATTATCTCCCAAAGGAGATCCAAATACCATCCAAATACATCTCCAAATACCATCACATGTGAGGCTAGGGCTTCAACATATGAATTTGGGTTGGGGGGCATAATTAGTTTATAGCACTATCCAAATAGATAAGACTATTAGGTACACTGAATACAACTCTGGTGCTCAAGACAGTATAGGAATATATGTGGGTGTTGTCAGTATATACTTGAAGCCACGGGAGCAAACAAGAACCTCAAGAAATAGGATATAGGGTGAGAAGAGGGCTGAGTGGAAGACACCGGGGGTACACCAACATGTAAGGAGAGGTAAGGGAAGGAAAACCCAGTGAAGACGTTCGAAAAGAGTGGTCATAATGACAGAAGATATAATCAGGATAAAGTAACTGTGTGCACAAATATACAGAAAATTTTGATGAAAAGGCAAGGACAAAGTAACAACATTACCAAGTACCCAGTATGCACTAAGATTTATGTTAGGTACTTTGTTTATCTTATTTCAGTTATTCCTCATAACAATCCAAAATACTATTAAACTGATTTCATATGTGAAAAAACCAAGGTGATTAACCCATTCAAGTTAACAAAGCTGGTAAATAAAACACCAAGCCTTTAAATTAAGGACCATCTACCAACCACAGCTGTGCTCTTTCTTACTGACATAGTACCATATGCTATAGAAACTTCAACAAAACCATTGTATTTTACCATTAGGGGGTTGATTATGACCATTTAGGAGAAAGCTGCAGTCATGATTAACAGAAAAAAGAATAAACATCTGAAGGAAAGACACATACACTGCCAGTTCTTCAAAGAATGAATTTCAGATCCTCAGAGGAAAAAAAAGTATAATTAATCAGTGAATGAATATTTATTACTAAATTTAATAGAATTTGGAGATTTTAATTCATATTAAATTACATTCTTGTCATGAAGATAACCAAAAGCTAATCAAGTAGTAGAGACCAAACGGGAAGAAAATAGAAATTAAAGATAATAATGCTAGTAACTGAGAACTTAGAGACAAAGACTGGACCCTAAATAGGCTGGCACATTGCTAAACCACAGGGGCTCTCCGACACAAGTGAGACTATTCTGCTTAGGCCATTATCACTATAAATGATGATATATAAGTTCATCTCAGGAAATAAAGTCAGCAGTAGCATCACTGAGTATTAGAAATAGCAGTGCATAATGTCATTAAACATTTATATTAGTATTAGTTACTGCTCTCAACAACGCTCTGAGGTGGATTATCATTATCTTCCTCACTTTGTAAATATCGGACATTAACAGATTCTTACAAAGTTAACTATGACCAAATTAGACAAGCAGGCATCACAGGCCCATTTGTTGCTTAGAATACTTTTCTTCTCCAATCTCTGTCAATATGAATCACACCTGCAGGATTGCTGGGAAGCTAGTCCAGGCAGCTGTCTGACCTATGTCGACAATTTTAACAATAGAGACGGCACTTCCTAAAGCAAAGAGATACTCACAAACTGGTAAAAAAAAAAAAAAAAAAGGTTCATTACTAGAACTATTTCCACACCTATCTGTAGGCAAAAGAACAGTTATACCAAGAATTTATTCAGAAAGAGCCAATAAATATATCAATACAATGTTTAAGAATCCAAGAGCTGAATCTAGATGATCAACCATGGTTCTCAGAATACTTATTTATTTATTCATTTATTTATTTATTTGAGATGGAGTCTCGCTCTGTCGCCCAGGCTGGAATGCAGTGGCGTGATCTTGGCTCACTGCAACCTCCGCCTGCCGGGTTCAAGCAATTCTCCCGCCTCAGCCTTCGAATAGCTGGGACTACAGGCGCGTGCCACCATACCCTTAATTTTTTTGTACTTTTAGTAGAGATGGGGTTTCACCATGCTGGCCTCAAACTCCAGACCTTGTGATCCTCCTGCCTTGGCCTCCCAAAGTGCTGGGATTACAGGCATGAGCTACTGTACCCAGCCAGAATACATTTTTGTTAATGTACAAAGAAAAGCCACAGCAATCTTCAAGTTCCTCCACTGAGGCTGGGAAGCACTATGTAGTAAACAGTTGATTTTTGCAACTGGGAGTGCATGGGAGTATGCATGCACATGCACATACATGCTGTATATGTATCAGTCAAGTGCAGCCTTTGGTCTTTTAAATACAATGAAAGAAATTCTTAGTTGTGATCTTTTTTTTTTTTTTAAGGAAAGAAGGACCAAGTCTTCTTTTGGAAGTATACATGGCACACTGCTAATAATGATGATACCCTGGAGAGTGGGAATGGGTGGAGAATGAAGGAAGGGGGTACGGACTTCCACTTTTTACTTTATATATTCTTGTATTTCTTAAACATTTCTTTAAACCAAGAATATGTCAAAGGAAGCTATAAAAATTTAGGTTGAAAAAGAAAAAACAGGGTAATGTTTT
Source organism: Homo sapiens (assembly GCF_000001405.40). Taxonomy (NCBI): domain Eukaryota; kingdom Metazoa; phylum Chordata; class Mammalia; order Primates; family Hominidae; genus Homo; species Homo sapiens. The sequence continues at coordinate 35,461,824 of NC_000015.10, forward strand.
TCAAAGAACCACTTACTCTCTTCTATATAGAAGGAAAGCTATATTTTCCCCCTAAAATTCCAGCATTTGGATATCCTAGGTAAAACACTTTTGAATTCTGAGTTAGGCTGCAGATTCAACAAAGCTCTTGATCCAGCACATATATCCATCCCACACAGAAATCCTCCCTATTGCTCCTCATTTTAGGAAATGGCACAACATGTATATTGTTATTCAGGCCAAAAACTTTAGATTCACTCATGATTTCTCTTTTCTTTATGACGTGCATCCTATCAATCAGTAGTTCTGTGAGCTTCACCTTCCAAAAATATCCCAGATTCCAACCACTTCTCATCACCTCCACTACTACCACTCTAGTCCTAATGACCACCACCCCTTAATTTGACTATTACCATAGCTTCCTAACTGGCCTCCCTAAGTCCACTCTTCCTCCCTACAGTCTATCTCCACAAACAGAGTGATCTTTCTAAACACAAGCCATGGCATGAAGCTTCCCCAATTCAAAATCCTTCAGTGACTTCCCATTCTATTTAAGAATAAAATCCAAGCTCCTTGCAGATAGCCTTAAAGGTATTTATGCCTGGACTCTGCCAACCTCTCTGACATCACCACCAACTACTGCACTCCCAAGTATACTCCACTGATGCACACTGCAGTCCTTACTGCTCCTCAAACACCTATGCTTGTTTCCACCTCAAGGTCTCTGGGCTTACCTTTGCCTGTGCCTGTAAAACACCTTCCCTAGAATTTATGTGGCTTATTCCCTCACTTCTTCCAGGTCTCTGTGAAAATATCTCAGAGAGGACTTCTCTTTCTAAAATATCCCTCCTAACCTTTCACCATCACTTTCTATGTCCTTGCCCTGGCTTTATTTTCTTCACAGTACTACCTAAAATTATATCATTTTTTAAAAATTAAATATTTATGTTTAAAATGTCTGTCTCAGCTCCATGATGGTACTTGGTCCCGTTCCCACTGTAATCTCAGCTCTAGAAAAGTACCTGGTACAATATTAAATAAATATTTATAACTGAATGATGTGGACTACATAAAATTACAGTATTTCTGTACTTAAACAATGACCTAAAACAAAGGCAATAAATAGAAATAAAATTACCATTTGGTAATATACATAACAAAGGGTATCTTTGTCTTTCAAATCAATATGGGATGAATTAACACACCAGTAGTAAAAATGAGGAAAGGATATTAATAGGTAATTTTTAAGAGAATACAAATAACTAATTTCAACCTCTTAAAAAACAAAGAAAATATAAGCTAAAATTAGATACTTTTTGTCAAACAGATATATACGAGTATGTGCGTGTGTGTGTGTAAAATTTGATAAATACTCAGATTAAAAGTTGATGAGTGTATGGGGAATTGCATAATCTCATATGCCACCAATGGGGCTGTTATCAGTGCATCCTTTCTGAAAAATAATTTTGTAGTATGTATCATGAACCTTCATGATGTTTATTCTCATAGTCCCAGAAATTTCAAATTTATATCCAGAAATGCAGTCTATAAAAATAATTGTAAATGTGCACAAGTTATATAAATATTTATCATATTTATATTCTACATGTAAGTGAAATACAAATTAGAAAACCCTAAAATCCTAAACAAAAGGATGATTCAATGAACTGTGGTACATTTGGAAGAGGGAAAACAAAGCAGTCATTAAAAGACATATTTTCAAAGGACATGAAATACAAGGAACTACTAATGATATAAGGCTAAGCGAAGCAAATGTTCATAAAGTACATACTAAAATATGTATTTTTTGAAATAGCCCTAAGTGTAGAAAGAGGACCAGAAATAGACCAAAGTGTAATAATTCTTATTTTTGAGTAGTATTTCATTTTTGCTATTTTATTTCCAACTTTATATTTTAAGTATTTTTACAACCCATGTATTACTTTCTTAATTAGAGGGAAATGATATTAAAAATATACCTATGGATATATATATATACACATTCATCTCTTATCCCATGTGCTGGTAAGCTGTCAGACACAATCATTCATATATTTATCAAACAGTAATTTTAAAAGTCCCACTTTGTGACAGGTCCTATACTAGGAAAGTTAAAACACATTAGAAAACAGCACAGTCGATGTTCTTAAAAAATTAAAATCTAGTGATAAGAAATGCAGAGGAATGGACACATAAAGAAATAAGTCAAATGGCTGGGCGTGGTGGCTCACACATGTAATCTCAGCACTTTGGGAGGCCAAGGCAGGCGGATCACAAGGTCAGGAGTTCGAGACCATCCTGGCCAACATAGTAAAACCCTGTCTCTACTAAAAATACAAAAATTATCTGGGCGTGGTGGCACGCGCCTGTAATCCCAGCTACTTGGGAGGCTGAGGCAGGAGAATCACTTGAACCAGGGAGTCAGAGGTTGCAGTGAGCCGAGATCGTGCTACAGTACTCCAGCCTGGCAATAGGGCAAGACTTTGTCTCAAAAAAAAAAAAAAATAAGGCAAATATGTGACATAAGTCTATATACATTATAACAGACCACAAGGGAGACAATTCTCACCTATAGGATAACATTAGGAAATACTTTTTTAAAAAATTATATTCCAGATACTAAACAGTCAGAAATGCTGATTCTTTGTCCTTCTAGATGATAAGAAAATAGATTCATAGCAGATAACAGCTCCTACTGATGTCTTCCAACATCTTCCCTAAAATAGCATTTATGTATAAAATCTGACAAATATTTTTTTCAAAGAAACAAATCTGGTTCTAAAAAGATATATAAATAATTTATCTGTCAACAAATCCTCACAATCCTAACTGTTGGTCTCCATTTGGTAGCTGACTGTGTGCTTGAATCTTCTATTAAACAACCCATCAATAAGGACCTAATATGTCATAGTCCTATTCTAATCACCAAAATGTAAACCTGTCTGTAAGAGTTTATAACCTAGTCCTAAAGATTTGTTAATGACTACTCTCAAAACCAGTGCACTAAAGTGTCAAGAACATACACACATGAGGATGGAAATGGACTTCTACTATAAAATGTACCCCATGTTGTGTTATTCATATGCAAATTTCTACTATATTACATGCAGCTAAAAGGCAACCAATACAGAGTTTGAGATGAGGAAGACATTCAGCCATATGGTCATAGTGATGATCACAAGTTTAGCAGAAGGAATTAAAGGTAGAAATCTAGACACAAATTAGACTGTTGACTCAATATCCACTTGTCTCAATACTGAAATGTTGGCTCACAGAGCCAACAAGGTAAATTGAAAACAAGTGGTCCTTTCTTATAAATGAAAACTCAGCCTACTTATTACAAAGATAAGAAGATATGCAGCTTGCATTTATCGGGGATATAATTTTCTTTGAAAAATGCCTCAGTTACCAGTTTTATTCTGTTAATGAGTTCCTGCCTGTTGAGAAAAAAAATGATCTTCTGAATTCAAAGTGTTTTTCATCTGAAAGGCATTCTAACATTTTTAATACGAACCATTCATTAAAGAAGCACACTTGCATTATAGCTCTGAGTGGCAATATTTGGACTTCTGGTAACACAACATTATTAAATAAACATTTGTGAATGCCAACGACGTTCTAGGGCCTGGATAACTAAGCGAGAAATTTATATGGCAAGTATAGCATTAGATGCTTTTTCCTTAAACTTCAAATTTTTCACTTTGGTAGAATTACACAAGTCTAGGCTAATAAAAATAACCAAAGAAATGAATATTATCTTAAATAAAATGATTCTGAAAGTGACACTTAGAATTCCAAGTAATATATTCAGGAATCTAATTAAAATATTGCTGGACTAGTTAAAAAATCTTTTGTTTTTTTCTTAAAATCATCAATATAAAAAAATTTCTAAAATGGAAAATGATCACCATCTGGAGCTCCCCCATTAAACAGTGAGCTCATGACAGAATATTAGGTCACTAATTTGTAGTATTATTATCTCCCATTGTGGGCTTTCATTAAATAGGGGAAAAAGTTGTTAAGGCTGAAAGTAAAATGACAAAGAAATTGCAGAAGAGCATAATAATTTGTCAGTTATATCCATTTAAAACAATGTTATTTTACTTCTAAGTCTCCATCTTAGTTGCAACAGTATGAAGTCATCCCAGATCAAATTCAACCTACATGTGAAACTAAATGGAAGTCTAGCACTACAGTTGTTTATTTTCCTTGAGTTTCTGAAGCAATCTTTTTGCTAAAAAGATAAGGTGGGGCCAGGCATGGTGGCTCACACCTTCACACCCAGCTACTCTGGAGGCTGTGGTGGTAGGACTGCCTGAGCCTGGGAGACTGAGGCTGTTCAGTGATCCTGCCACTGGACCTCCAACCTGGGCAACAGAACAAGGTTCTGTCTCAAAAAAATTAAAATTAATTAAAAATAATTAAATACATAAAAGATAAGGTGATATTTTGAGGACTTCTGTGAAATGCCTAAACAACAGCAAGCAACAAAAATAAATAAGGAAAAAAGTATATGGTTCAATCCTTTATTCTCCTAATTGCTTATTGGGAGAATAAAGTAACACATTCAAGAAGTATTCATTTCTAAGCACCTCAGTTTGGTAGGGTTTAACCTGTTCAGAAGCTGCTTTCTGAACTCATTCTCTAAGCTGTCCTTTGATTAGTTTGAGATAACTAAAATGAAACTTACATAAACAGGAGTATAACATTCTAAAATCTATACTTAAACCACTACTACCAAGAAAAAAATCGTTTATGTAAAATTTCATTTGCAGTAATAGGACCATATTGAAATGTATACAGTTGTAAGATATTTAACAATGGGCATACATTCTAAGGAATGAGTCATTATGCAGTTTCATCGTATGAACATCATAGAGTGTATTTATATAAATGTAGATGGTAATAGCCTACTACACACCTCAGCTATATGGTATAGCCTATTGCTCCTAGGCTATAAACCTGTACAGCATATTACTATACTGAATACTGTAGGGAATTGTAACAATGGTAAATATTTGGGTATCTAAACATATCTAACCATAGAAAAAGTACAGTAAAAATACAATTAAAAAGATACAAATGATACACCTTTAAAGTGCACTTAGCATGGTTGGAGCTTACAGGACTGGAAATTGTTTTGGGTGAATCAGTGAGTGAATGTTGAGTGAATACAAAGGCCTAGGACATTACTGTACACTAATGTAGATTATAAACATGGTATGTTTTAGCTGCACTAAATTTATAAAAAAAAAATCTTCCTTAAATAATAAATTAAACTTAGCTTACTGTAACTTTTTTACTTTATTACTAATTAACTTTTTAATCTGTTTTTTACTCTTTGTAATAACACTTGGATTAAAACATAAATAAATTGTACAAAATATTTTCTTTATGTCCTTATTCTGTAAACTTTTTTCTATTTTTAAAACATTTTATTTTTTACTCTTTAAGCTTTTTTGTTAAAAACTAAGACCCAAGACTGGATGTGGTGGCTCATGCCCGTAATCCCAGCACTTTGGGAGGCCAAGGCAGGCAGATCACTTGAGGTCAGGAGTTTGAGACCAGCCTGGCCAACATGGTGAAACCCCCATCTCTACTAAAAATACAAAAATTAGCTGGGCATGGTGGTGCGCACCTGTAATCCCAGCTACACAGGAGGTTGAGGCAGGAGAATCGCCTGAACCTGGGAGGCGGAGGTTGCAGTGAGCTGAGATCGCACCACGGCACTCCAGCCTTGGCAACAGGGTGAGACTCCATCTCGAACAAACAAAGAAACAAAACAAACAAAAAAAACTAAGACACAAGCACATGCATTAGCCTAACAGTGTCAAGGTTATCAGTAACACTGTCTTCCTCCTCTACATATCATCCCACCGGAAGGTCTTCAGGAGTAATGACTGGCATGGAGCTGTCATTCCTATAACAACAAGGCCTTCTTGCGGAATACCTTGGAGGGACCGGCCTGAGGCTGTTTTACACTTAATCTTTTTTTATAAGTAGGAGTACACTCAAATATAACAATAAACAGTCATTGTAGCAGATTTGTTTACACCAGTATCACCACAAACACATGAGTAAAATGTTGTGCTATGACATTAAGATGGCTGTGATGTCAATAGGAGATTGGAATTTTTCAGTTCCATTATAATCTTACGGAAACACCGTATACATGGTCCTTTGTTAACCAAAACATTGTTAAGTGGCACAGGCTGTCTAAATAAATATCAAATAAATTTCATAGTTCATAAAACTGAATTTCTTGAAAAATATTTCATTGGATACAAGTAAGGCTATTTCTCAAATTTCAATCTGCTTCAACATTCAGTCACCCAAACTGAATTTACCAAGAAACTATCTGCAAAGCATTGTGCTTATCTCTTTACTCTATGCATTATCTCATTTTATCATGGTAACGATCCTTCAAGAGAGCTTTTATTAATTTCATTTTACAGAAGAGAAAGAGGTCAAGAATAGCTGCATAACTTGCCCCAGATTTCTCAATAATAAATGAGATGTAGAATTAAACACCAGGTGAATATCTGTGCAGGGAACAATCACTGAGCTGCCTATCCACTCCAGGTGAGTCACAGACCGTCCCAGCCTCTGCCTCATAGTGCTTCTTCCATGTTCTTAAGCTAACTGTCTTGCCTGCTCAAAACCCTCTAAGTCATATCTCACTCAAAATAAGACAGATACCCCATTATCTCTCTATCCTCATCTACCATTCTCCCTTTCACGGTAGGAGCAAGGGAAATCTCTGGGGTGGGGGTCAAGACTAAGGAGCTAAACATGAACATAGTCATAAACAAAGAGACTTAAGGGACCAAATCTGTAACCCCAATGGACAGGATTATCAGAGGTTATGGGGCACGTAACAGAAAAAACAAGAAGGGGAAAAAAACCTGGTAAGAATGATGGGAAGTTTAAGGGTGGCGAAAAGGGGACAGTTAGCAGGAGATGAGACTAAAAGGCCAGGCAGAGGCTGGGCGCGGTGGCTCATGCCAGTAATCCCAGCACTTTGGGAGGCTGAGGCAGGTGGATCAACAGGTGTTCGGAGTTCAAGACAAACCTGGCCAACATGGTGAAACCCTGTCTCTACTAAAAGTACGAAAATTAGCTGGGCATGATGGCAGGTGCCTGTAATCCCAGTTACTTGGGAGGCAGAGTCAGGAGAATCGCTTGAATCCGGGAGGCGGAGGTTGCAGTGAGCCAAGACCCAACACCATTGCACTCCAGCCTGGGCAACAAGAGCAAAACTCTGCTTCAAAACAACAACAACAACAACAACAACAACAACAACAGGCCAGGCAGAAACCACAGCATGAACAGCATTATGTACCACACTTTGTAGGCCATGGTAAAGAATTTAGATTACATTCTGACAGGGAAGGAAAGGAAGATTTACTGAGACAAGCATGATAACATAAATATTGGATTTACTTTTCTTATTGGTAAAATATATATAACATAATATTTACAATTTTAACCATTTTTAAGTGTAAAGTTCAGTGGCATTAAGTATATTGACATTGTTGTATAGCTGAACTCACATTTTTAAAAGGTTGTATAGGAGTAGTGATCAGAAAAGTTAAAAGTTAAAAGCAAGTTAAAAGTTAAAAGCAAGGAACCCTAAAGAAATCTAAGTAAGAAATGATAAAGGTCTAAACTAAGGCAGTAGTTATGACAAGAAGAGGGCAGATTCATAAGTTTATAAGGAATGAGTAATAGATTCTGGTGTTATATGGCCGAGAAAGGAACCCAGAATGCTCCCAAGTGTTTGGCTTGGTCACTTGATAGAGAGCAATCACACTGACTGATAGGAAATGCACAGACATGGGGAAGATGTTGAGTGCCAATTGGACACTGAATCTTATGTGCCTTTAGGTCATTCAATGCAAGGTATCCAGTAGACAGTTGGTTATGGAGTTCAAAAAACAGGAATAATCAGGTAACATAAATGTGTATACCAGTGGTAGCTGAAGCCATGTGAAGAGATACGATAAAACAGTGAAAACATATAAACTGAAAGAAGAGGGTGAAGAATGAAGCCCCGAGAACATACATTTACAAAGTGGGCAGGGAAAGAAGAGTCTTAAAAGAAAACTAGGCCAGGCATAAAACTAGGCTCACACCTGTAATCACAGCACTTTGGGAGGCTGAGGAGGGCAGATCACCTGAGGTCAGGAGTTTGAGACCAGCCTGGCCAACATGGCGAAACCCTGTCTCTACTAAAAATACAAAAATTAGCCGGGCATGGTGGTGTGTGCCTGTAATCCCCGCTACTCAGGAGGCTGAGGCAGGAGAATTGCTTGAACCCGGGAGGCAGAGGTTGCAGTGAGCCGAGATCGCACCACTACACTTCCAGCCTGGGTGAGAGAGCAAGACTGTGTCTCAAAAAAGACTAAATAGGTAAATAAATGACAAACAAATAAATAAAAACTAAGAACAGAGGGATAGACAGAAAAGCCAAAAGAAAGGGCTATCACAGACGCCAAGGTCAAAGAGGTTTTAAAGCGCAGAGTCTATAGTGCCAAGTATCACAAAGAGGTCGAGGAATGAAAAAAATGGGGATTTAAAAAAAATAAAAAAGTTCACTGGATTTGGTCATTACTGACCTTGACAAGAGAAGTTTTAATAAATTGCTGTTGACGGGAACTGAACTGAAACAGGATAAGAAAAGGGGAGATGAGAAAGAAAATAAATATTTCAAAAAGACTTGTGAAGAGATGGTGCAATTGCTAGAAAAGAACGTGGGATCAAGGAGAAAGGTAACACGTTTGCTCCTAAGTCAAAAGTAGCGTGACTTACACAGGTTCACAAAACGCGTTGGCAGCACCACTACAGACAGAATTTGATAGGCCATTTCCCAATCCAGTCTTACTTCTGCTAACAAACAGAAACATTATCCACTTCAAGAATAACAAAGCCATGAGAAAATGTATCTGGCTTCACAGTCTTTAAAAGTACGGAGTGAACTTAGAACAAAACAAAACAAAAACTCCTATCTTTAATTATACATACTAACTGTACTTTTTAAAGAAAAACTTTTTAAAAACTGTATAACTTGTCTTCAAAAATACCTCCAAAATTAAATGTATCTTAATTAGTATAGGAGATGTAATTTGTGGTCACAAGAATACATAACTTAAAGTGAATTATTAGAAAAAAAAATAGAGAAATAGAAGACCTGAGTTAAAAAGCTCAGCTTTACAACATACACATTAACAAAATCTTGTACAAATTTCTTAACTCTCATCAACTCAGTTCCTTCATAAAATACAGATAATATCTAGTTCATAGGGTTGTGTGAGGCAACTAATGTAACATGTGAAGGTGCTCAATCATAAAGAGCAATACAAATACTATTTATTTCTCCCTTACCCTTCTGTGCTTCCTCATTTCTCTATTTCTGCCACTAGCATCACCCAGGCTTAAGAGGTACAGGTAACATAAGACTCTCTCCACTCTCTCTGGGTGCTTATCTGATGCCAGAGAGATGTTGGAACTACAGATTCCCCAAATCCTGTCACAAAGTACTAAAAATCAAGCATTTTCACTGCAGTGCTCCTAAATCAGATCCTCTCAGCTCTCCCTAGAATAATGTCAATGAAGCCATCACTGCTTTCTCCACTTCTAATTACTTCTCCCTCCAATTGATACAACTATTAGATTTACCTTCTCAAAATCAATCCCTCCACACCTCCCTACCTACCAAATAAATTTTTCTCTCTAATCTACCTTTATTTTTATTAAATCCTTTTCATTACCATCTACTATTTGGCTGAACACATTAATTTCTTACTTTGTTCTTACTCTTCGTTCAACCCTTTGTTCTTACTCTTCTCTCCATTTGGAATTTTCTATCCATCCTCTGCAACCAATTTCCACCTACTGTAATCCTACTCATTCTTCACAACCTATGAAACCATATTTGATCTTACTGATCAGAAGTAAGCTCTCTCTCATTTAAATCCTTTGTATCTCTTACTCTGTACATTTCTTGATATACTTTACACATGTTATTTTCTATACATGTTCTTAGTTCTATTAGATTCTGTTAGCATCCACATAGTGTGCAGTATAATGCCTTATCTTCAATCAAAAAAAGTGCATGAGAAGAATTCAGCTATTTGTGTGGGCCCTACAATAAATGTAAAGCATGACCATTTATTTTAATTTATCATTTTGTGAAAATAACGTTGTGCTTTAGCTGCGTTGTGCTACAATCGTGCCCGTGAATAGCCACTGCACTCCAGCCTGGGCAACATAGCGAGTCCTTATCTCTAAAAAATAGATAAACAACAAAAAAATAAAGTTGAACTTTATAAGATTAGGACTTCAATGACTATATCAATCAGGGTCCAACAGAAAAATAAAATACTCTAAATATTTTCTTAAAGGACAGGGAATTGATTACACAGGTGACAGAACTGAGAAACCAAAGAGGGACAGTGAAGGAACACACGGATTAATAATAGCAGAAGCAGTTACTATCCTTTGCCTGCTGGGACAAAGAGTTTACTGGAACCCAGGAACCAGGTACCATTGTAGAAGGAAGCTCAGTGGACCTGTCCAATAGGAGCTGGAGAAAGTGGCAGGTCAGCAACAGCAATGACTCTACCCAGGCAGAGAGAGAGGGAAGAACCAGTTTTCCCTTCCTTGTGCCCTCCAATCTCCCCAGTACCTCCAACTGGCCAAATCCATAGCCAGCTAATGACAGTACAGACATTTAAGCTGACTAAGCCCTCCTGGACACCAAACAGTACCTGCAAGGGGCTAACAATGAGTATGAAGGCAAAAAGGTGGCAAAAAGGCCCAAGATGAGCATAAAAACTTTAACAGTATGTAATCATTTAAGGAAAATTGAAAGATAAAATAAAATAGACAAAATTAGCCAAGGTAAAATGTCTAAAAATCAGCAAGAGACAAGTCCCAACAGACTATTTTTTCACTCAGCAAATTATTCAACAAATATTTGAGTTCCTATATACTCTGCATTCCAGATAGAGCAAAACATAGGAGACATCATCCCTACCTTCATGGAGCTTAACACCTAGCAAAGACGTTCCAGAATACATAATCCTTAACAAGATGTAGTTAAAAAAAAAAAAAAAAAGATGTAGTAAATACATCATAAAATTCAGTGGTATCCAGTATCACCACATGCAGGGTTAGTAATTGAGGGCTACCACCTCAACTTAAAAGTTTCTTTTGATTCTCTTAGGAATAAATCTGGAAAGTAATAGAAGCAACTTCAATGCCTATACTCAATATGAAAACTTAGTGGGAGCAATCTCTAAGATGCTCGGTTTCAAACTATGAAACACTTTGCTAGGAGCCAGGGGTAACAACAGAATCCAAGTTTATATAAACCTAATTAACAAATGCTATGGATATTATTCAATAAATAGGAATTGTCTCATTTTTATATAAAGCCCACAACAATCACAGGAAAGAAAAAAAGTTCTGGTACCAGCTTTAAAGATGAAGCAAGTACTGTTATTTGCATTCATTTACCAAATAAATCAGAGGCATCATTATTAGGAAAAGGACTCCAATCCACATCATTCAATTATGTGTTCCTTTCATTAAGGGAATGAAAGTAAAAGCCTAGATCAGAAATAACATAACTATGTTAAAACCTATCCAGCTTCATTCTCCTCTTCAAAAAACTGCCCAATTATCTCAATAATTTTAAAAAATTCATTAATTTCATGAAAAATCAGACTGTCTTTTTCACAGAGCATTAAGGAGAGTAGAAAGGTATATATATTGGTACGCATATACCAATATGTGTACCTGGACTAGGGTTATCACAATTATTTATTAAAATTGCAAACGCTACTCTCTTAGGCCCATAAATTCCACCTAAAAACTTATAGATATATTCACACACATGAAACAAAATATGTACCAGGACATTCATGGTAATAGCAAAAGATTGGGTACAACCTAAATGCTCCTCAGTAGGGCAGTGGTTAAATAAATAATATATACATATAATGGACTACTACACAACAATTAAAAATGAGAAAGCTCTTTACTAAAAATGAAATGACCTTCAGGATACATTATACAAAAAAGGCAAGCGATAGAACACTGTGCACAGTGTGTGTGTGTGTGTGTGTGTGTGTGTGTGTGTGTGTGTGTGTGCGCGCGCGCGCGTGAGCTTTTGTAGACATAAAGTATTTCTAGAAGGATACATAAGAAATTGACAATATTGGTTGGGTTGGAGGGGGAAGGAAACTGAGTAGGATAGGAAGAGGATATACCTATGAACATTGTGAATTTTGAACCAAGTGACTGTGTTGCCCATTCAATAAACAAAAATTAACATCAACATCAACAATGGCAAAATCCTCTAAATCTTTGCCCTTAGCAAGTTTGGCAGGAAACTGCTTTCTAAACCAAGTTAAATTTTTCCCCTCTTTAAGAGAGAGGAAAAATACAAGAGAAAAATTCTAATTAGCTCTGATCTACATATTACTGCCTGAAGTGCTGTTATAACTAGAGTCACGAGGTTTCAAAACTAGCAAAATACTGCCACATAAACATATGGAATTACACAAAAGAGAAACAAATACTGAGGACCAGTTACATTCTTCACTCTTTTTTGCCCTTGATAAACTTAAATAAAAAACACCAATAGCCATAACAGCAAGTTTAAAGGCAGACTCTAGTTTCCAGAATTCTTTTAAGGGTAACCTGCACATGGTTAGGTTAATTAAGTTAAAAAACAGATCTATTTGCCAGTTTTTCTTCATAGATCATCTTTTGGCTATTCATTTTAGGAACCATGAGAAAAAGAAATTGCTGACCAACAGCATGTCTTTCAAAGTATATTTAAACACTACGTAAATGTAAAAAATTAAAATGAAGAATTTTTAAAATGTTTATTAGTCATCAATAAGTCAGCATTACTTAGTAAGTATCAGCCCCACAACTGCTCTGAAAAGTAGTAAATACATGAAATGTGTACATTCAGAAGATCTTTAATATTAAGAGTTGGGATATAAAAGCCAGTCCTAGGAAGGAAATAGTTAGAATACCGTACCTCGTGCTACCTGCAAAGTATCACATCTGGGAGATAATTTTAAAAGTCATTAATTAAAGAAATCAATAATAAAAAACTTGGATACAATCACATTTGGGATTAAGAAAAAAAGAAAAAGAAAAAACAGCTGGAAAAAAAAGCTTAAACAACTACCACTATTCTTGATTTGATCCTCCTCAGACTTCACCCCTGCATCTGAATAATGAAGCACTGAACCACCGCAGACCTAGTAAAGTATATTTAATTGAAATACACAGCTTTCCTGGTTCCAGCTGATAAACATTAAATATTTTCTTAAATAGAGAGAGGAAGGAGAGTAAGAGTTAAACAATACATGGAGATGGTCTTTTATAGGTCTTACTTATTTCCATGTATTAAACTGCATGTATATCCAAGAGATTGCTGATGTGATTTTCTAGTTTAATAGTCACATATCAACTGTAAGGCAGATCTAGAAATAAATGCAAACACCAGAAGTGGTTTTGAAATCTGTAGACATCAATGTTTATTTAGCTTCTCTGAACTATCTCTACAATCAAAATCTGAAATCATAAAATTGAGAACCTAATCAGAGCCAGGATTCCAAATTTGCTAAAGTCTTTTCAGATGAAGCATGGAATAAGATGACCGACCAACTATCCGGTGACCATTAAAGAAACTGCTATGCTATTGTGGAAACATTGGTTAAAATGAATTATATATTTCTTTGGTCATGGATTTAATATTTTATGGTCAATTACAGAAAAGTAGACTTTTCTGATGTTGTTGCTAAAGAAATTGAAAATTATGATGTTACTCTGAAATATTTCCTATTCTGATAGTTGTATTACATTAATAGTTTAATATCCTTAATTTCCCAATTTAAAGCACCAGAGGGACCAGAAAGTAATGTTAAAAAGAATGAATTAAAAAAAAGCAGTCAAGCAAAGAGGTAAGAGTGGCCGAGCAAAGATAATAATAGTAAATATAAACAAAAAATTAAACTGAGAAGAATATTAAAAAGTGATATAAGCCACAGTCTCTGCCCTCAAGAAGCTTATATATAGCTGGAGAAAAGATACATGAATAGAGAATTAATAATACAAAACAGTAAATGAAAAGAACAAAAATATTTTTACAGAACAAAACATTAAGACATCACTCTGAGTAGCTCTACAAACAGTACAGAAGAAAAGAAAATATTTTGGAAAGAGAAGGCTAATTTATAAAAATTTTAAAAAATATATGGCCATTTCAAATTATAAAAACCATTTGTTGATCTATACAAGTAAGAAATATTCCTAGCTGATCGAGATCTCATCATAAAAAATGCATCTTACTAGGCATGTATTTCTAACAATGACTAGCTGTGGGATTTTAAACAAGATTCCTAATTTCTCTGGATCTCAGTTCCCTCATTAGTAAATAAGAGACTGAGACTTCTTTGCATGCCTATTTTTCCAAAACTGAGCTCTTGGAATGTGGTTGTGCCTAAAGTTAGGATAATGGAAAAACAGAAGAACTGAGAAGGTTCAGTTTGACTCCATCCTGCTGTGTTAAATAAATGAAATATGGTCTCACTTTTTATAAAGTAGGTTATTAAAGAAATCACTATAAATAAAAGCTAGAAATGACCTTTAATTCTGAAATACCAGAAAATTAGAAAACTATCATTTAAACATAATCTAAAGTTTTTAAAAAATCCACACAAAAGCACAAAGATTCTATTTTTTTCTTCTTGACCATTTTAGTTTGTTGCTGCTACATTATAGTCAATGTACAGAAGAAAAAAAATTACACTGAAACTTCATGATTACAAACTCATCAAGATCTATTCTGACATTAGTTAGAGGTGAAACTTCCTTAAAACAAGGTCCTATGATTAATTAGGTGCAAGACAAAGTGACTTGAGATTGAATTCCACTTGCCAGTAACAAAGTGTATTATAAGTAACAATGCATTTATTCAGTTGTCAAACATTCATCAAATACAAAGTTATAGAATAGTAAATGTTAAGAAAAATAATCTATGAAAAATAGGCAGTAAAACACTGGCTTTTCTTTTCATTTTTATAATATTTTCTTTCCATGGAAACCACTAACATTTTCTGCTCTAAAAATGAACACAACATGAGACTTTCAAAAACAAAACAAAAACAAATACATTTGCAAATTATGACAATAGACATTTAGCAGTAGCATACTTTATTATATGTACAAAGACAAGACTTCTTAATTATGGGTTTTATTCTTCATACAAACTGAAATGATTATTTTAGTTTTTACTATACCCTATGCATATCATTAATGAAAGTGGAGGGAAAAAACCCTAGAGGTTTACTGCTAGATTAAAATGTACAATTAATACAATAACTATATATCAAAGTATAACATTATCTGAATTACATAAAATTTCAAATAAATCATTTTTTAGATTTTTTTGCTGTTGTTTTCTTAATGAATATTTGAGGGGAGTGGATTTTCTCTTAAATATTAACTTGGAGTTGTTGCACTTTGTTATACAACACGAAATATTTTTTGAAGTAAAAAAATGAATTATAATACAAAGTGTTAAGAGGTATACTACAAACATAGGTACTGCAAAGGCTGCATGGTATCAGTGTACTCCATCAACACAGCATATTCATTCATTAGAGTGGTGCCATCATACACATGGATAGTATGATGCATTGGTTCCTGGTAGATGTATTACTTTTATAGGTCAGACCAGTGTAATATTTTAAAAACCTACAGTACCCAGTGATTTCATTCATTTACAGATTTCATTTCCTTGTCACAGCCTAAAATTAGTTCTTCTAAACATGCATAGTGATTCATTTTCTATCTCTAAAATGTTTTCACTGGCCAACTAACCAATTGTTTAAATTGGTGTGACTACATGGATTTTCTTCAATTTCACATTCTCACTTCTTATCCAGCCATCGTAGGGTTCAGCAAAAAGAAAATTAGTGATAATGCTTTCAATTTAATTAGTATATTACATGCACTGTAATTATTAGCGGGAAATGTTATTTTAATGAATGTAAAAGTTAGCAGTAAATTACCCTGTAGCTATTATCAATTTCCCAAGCTACTGCTCCTTAAGATAACCCTCTCCCTATGGTCCTTCCGGTAATTTTTCTTTGCCTGATAAACATGATGATTAAATAGCACACAGAGCAAACCTCTGATACTTTTAAAATTAAATCCATGCCCAGCCTAAGGGCTGTGTCTGATTTCAACTAAATGTGTCAGTTAATCAGATAAAAAATTATCAGTAACTCAAAGAAACAGCAGCCTTAGGCTTCATCAGTGCCACAGAAAGCTGAACAAAATAAGACATTCAGACAGTATCACATTATGTGTAAAGGTTACTGATAAGCCTATAACTAAATACAACTGCTTACCACTGTAACAATGTTTAGGAAGAAATGCTATATTCAACATTCAAATTATCTTTAAAATTTTAAAGAAAAAAATGTAAAGAAAACACTAGGAATACTTTACCCATACACACATACCCACACATACACACACACACACACACACACACACACACACACACACAAAGATTGTAAAAATATGCAGTGGATTTGGGAAATGGAATTCTTAAAGCTATATTCTCAGTGAGGTTTTACTGAAAAGAACTTAATACTATCAACACTATTTCTAATAGAATATTTCAACAATTATACAAAGTAAACCATATATTTAATGGTTAAGAGAAGGTATGTATGAATTCAATATCATTAATCTGCACAGTTCTACCTAGGGCCTCAGAGGAACTCAATGCAATTTCATCCGTTAAAACCAAATCTGGGGTGGTCTAAAACTATAACAAGATACTAAATTAATTAAGAAAGGAGATCATTTTTAACCTGCAACAATGAGCACCAATAGTCATTTGCAATATTACCAGTTAAAATAATACATATTATCAAGTGCCTGATTATTTTAATAAGAGGATTTAGAAGCTCCTACAATTATTAGATAGATAGGCTGGCAACCCCTTAAACTTTAAGAGCATATTATGATTTTCAAAGCATTCTCAGATTCCTAATTAAGATTGCTTTAACTACAGAAGAAGGCTATTTTATAAACTGATATATTAGTAACAACTGCAAGAAAGAAACTAAATCTGAAAAGAACAGAAAATTATCTTTGAAAGACATAATGGGCAGTAGCTATGAAAAATCCATTTATAAAGCAGAACAGGAGTCTCAAACCTTCTGACAAAGAAAATTTCAAATTAACACTCCATCATCTTTATATTCTTCTCTTCTACTGTGACCAGATAATGTATTCAACTGTAACAAGATTCTCATTCTTTTTCACTGAGTGCAACTTTTCAATAAGTAGACCTGTGTGACCAGAGGAAAACTGGGCCAATTCTATACAAATATAAGCTAAATATCACAGACCCATATAAATTAAAGGAGTCCAACAATTTAAAATTTACTGTCTACCTATGAGTATAGGATCATCCCACTGAATCTTAAAGTTTTGATTCTCGACACATTGAAAAGTGTATTGTAGACCCTCTGAAATAACTATTTTTAGTCAAGAATTAATCTGAAGTGCAGAGAAGTGGTTTTGCTTTTCCAGCTTGCTACAAGCAGCAACATGTACCTTTTAGGAAATGCTTTTGATGATAAGAATCCATCAAGCACTAACCCTGGTTAAAGTTAGGTTAAGACTCCTCCTCCAAGACTTCTACAAATTTCAGAGTTCACCAAAGAGCAACTACAAAATATCATAGGGTTACAGGATGAAATTCAAACTGGTCACCAAGAGGTGACTTAATCTAGCTGCCTCTTGCGATCCCCAGGGCTTTCTGGTCTCCTCTCACATCACAGGGTTTAATTGTTAATGCCTGCTCCCTTTGACCCCTACAGGTCTCATGTTAATGATCACTACACTCTCTCTCTTAACTCTTTACAACTTCAAATCTATGCAAGACTGTTAACAGATTATTTAAATAAAAAGCACGATTTACACATATTAAAAATTCTAATTGAAAAGAACATTATCAAAAGCATTTCGATTAGACAATATAATTACAATACTAGGACCCATTCTCTAGGTTAACTAAAAAGAAAACAAGAATGTAAGTTATTTGTTTAAAAATATATTTATTATTGAATTACAATTACAATTTACTATATTTTCAAGTGTATCTTTCTGAGTAGTGAAAACATTATGCTTTGTTTAAAAAAGTACTATAATAATACAATTTATTTTGGCATGCATTAACTGAAGTAAGTCAATATTAAACTTTGAAAAAAAACAAAATAAAAATTTATATTGAAAAACTTTCTGATTTTATAGTACTAATCTAATTTTTCCCCTGGGATGGGTTTGAGACACAAGAAAACTTTATAACCACAACAGTTAAATAAAAATTCTAACATTAGGTAGATGATTATTTGCAGCCAAATATATAAGCACTTTACAAGCTCAAATATTTATAAAACAGTTGCCTACAGACAATTCTTTAAGAAAATCCTATGTAAGGATGACCTTCATCAGAGACCTGATGATGATTTTTAAAACTGAATTTCACCAAAACAAGCTTTCCAATATTTAATAAACTAATGTTAGCTCTCATGCAGTGATGAAGTATAAACATCCACAATTAAATCTTAAGGCTATGTAGGTTTCTATCCCATACCAGCTATATAAATAGGAAATAGATTTGTGGGCTTTTACACAGAATGGCCTTTAAAACATAGTAGTTTAACATTTTTATCCATGAATAAAATGTTTGCTATTTTAAACAAGCTCAATAATATTTTACATAAAGCATACTAATATTTAATTTAATAATTCCACTAACATAATTTAGTAGCAGAAATTAAATCATCTTATAATTAAGGTTGGATATATAGTCTTTAAAATATAATTTTTAAGTAAGAAAAGAATTAAGAATTTATCCTGTCTTTCTCATATAAACTTATTTTGGGTAACCACTGAGTAACCAGATAATAGGAAGAGCATCTCTTTTTATGGAATATTTCAGCTAATAAATGAAACAGGAATGATAGAATTGTAATATCACCATTTACAAAAAAGATAATCAGAAATATAAATAGTATATGTTTCCTGATGGAAGAACATACAACCATATGTGGGGTATTCTTTAAAAAAAAAAAATCAAACCTGAATTTGATCAAACTTCCAGATCTGTGTTGTCCAACAGAACTTTTTGTAATGATGGAAATGCTCTATCTGTGTTATGTAACAAGATAACTACTACCCACATGTGACTACTGAACATTTGAAATGTGGCTAGTTAGACTGAGGAACTAATTTTTAAATGTTATTTAATTTTAACAAATTAGAATTTAAATTTATATACCAGTATGTGGTATACCGCATTCTACAGCAGAGCTTTAGACCCAACTACCAAGTTACAGGAAATCATAAAGAACAAAGCAACACATTGCCCTGCACTGTGGGGATTTCAACAGTCTGTCAAAAACTCTACTGGACAAGTAACCTGTTTTATTGAAAAAGGATTTTAGAAGAAGGAAAGAGGAAGAGAAAAGATTACAGAAGATTATAGATTACAAAAGACTTGAAAGACATATTAACCAATTGCAATACATGAAACTTCTTTGGATCTTGATTCAAACAAAAAAATTGTAAAAACAAAAACAAACAAAACAATGTGAGATATCTGTAAAACAATTTAAAATTTGAATATTGACTGGATATGTAATGAAGAGATTACTGTAAATTGTTTTAATGCATGATTATGGTGTAATTATTATGTTAAAAAAGGAAATCTTATCACTTAGAGATAGATGCTGAAATATTTGCAAATGAAATATAAGACCTGGGATTTGCTTCGAAAGAATAATAGAAGGAGGGAAGTAAATGGATATATAAATGAAACAAGATGGGTTATAACTTAATTGTAGCTGGCTAATAAGTACCTGGGGGCTATTTTATTAACCTTCTTTTAAAAGTGTTTATAACTTTTTAAAATATTAAAATCAAATAATAAAAGGCTATAAAAGAAAATAAGGTAGGATTTCAATATGGTAGATTTATTATTTGGCAAATCCTAAATTCCCTAAAGCAATGATAAACCTGGATAAACAACTATCTCAAGGATCTGGAAACTGACCAAAGGTATAAACCAAATTAAGAAGTTATTAATGAAAAATGACTGAGCTTTGAGAGTCTGTGGCATCCTTGCCTGGAGCCACTCCCATAACAAGGTGGGGCAAGCTGTGAAAAATAGCAGTTTTACTGCCAGAGAGGGTTGACTAGATTTGAAGTGGGACCAGAAAAATCCCCACACCCAGCAGCATTGTCTGTAACAACTGTGATCTCCTGGCAAACGAACTGAAAAAACCAGTGACTCATCTAGCCTGAGGCTGCAGTACTAGCTGGGTGAAGCGATATATGTTCAGACTATACAAGAATTTAACAGGTAGGCTGAAAAATGAGATAGCATAAAATAAGTTGATAACCACCACATACATTATGTTGGAGTCACCAGAAAGGTCAAGCTAGCCTCAAATCCTCCCTGACCTGAGGCTGTGCAGAGAAGACACAAGAGAGTAAAGTGGGAAAACTTATACTACTTGATTAATAAACATTATAAATTTACTATAAAACCACAATAATAAAAATAGTAGTACTGAAGTAAGACTAGGCATATAAGTCAATAAGACAGAATTTAAAGTCTAGAAATAAATCTAGAAATAAAGTATTTACATTTATGGCCAATTGATTTTGACAAAGGTTCCAAGGCAATTCAATGGGGAAAGGATAGTTTTTCAACAAAAGTATAGATACAACTGAGTATTCAGATGCAAAATGATAAATTTAAGCCCTTACCTCACACCACATACAAAAAATAACTAAAAAATTGTAGACGTAAAGGTAAGAGCTAAAACTACAAAATATTTAGAACACACTGTTAGTAGTCCCAGCTTAGAAACACCAAAAGCACGAACCATAAAAGAAAAAAACGGACAAATTAGACTTCATCAAAATTTTAAAATTTTGTGCTTTAAAAAACATCATCAAGAAAATGAAAAGATAAGCCATGAACTGAAACAGTTTGCAAATCATACATCTGATAAAATGCTTTTTTACACAGGATATAATAAAAATTAAATATTAAGTATTTAAAATTTTAAAATTATAAAATTACCTATTAAATTGTATATTCAAATTTCTAACAACCGAATAAGAATATAAATCACTAAAAATGAGCAAAAGATTTCACTAGACGCTCCACCAAAAAATACAGATGAATGGCCAATAAGTATATAAAAAGATACTCAGCATCTTTAGTAATCAGGAAATGGAAATTAAAACCACAATGAGGCTTGGGTGCGGTGGTTCATGCCTGTAATCCCAGCACTTTGGAGTGCTGAGGCGGGTGGATCATGAGGTCAGGAGTTCAAGACCAGCCTAACCAACATGGTGAAACCCCGTCTCTACTAAAAATACAAAAATTAGCCAAGTGTGGTGGTGTGCACCTGTAATCCCAGCTACTCAAGAGGCTGAGGCAGGAGAATTGCTTAAACCCAGGAGGCAGAGGTTGCAGTGAGCTGAGATCGCACCATTGCATTCCAGCCTGGGCAACAGAGCGAGACTCTGTCTCAAAAAAAAACCAAAAAAAAAAAACCAAAAAAACCATAATGAGATACCAATATAAACTCACTAGAATGTGTATAATCAAAAAGGTAGACAATAACGAATAGTGAAGATAATGGGAGGAAACATTTATCCATTGCAGGTGGAAATTTAATATGGTACAGTCATGTTTGAAAACAGCTTGGTAGTTTGAAAGTACAAATTTAACATACAACCCAGCAACTTCATTTCTGATATCTACTCATGAGAAATGAAAACACATGTCCACATAACTTATATGTGAACATTCACAGCAGCATTACACATACTAGCCAAAAATGGAAACAATTCAATTTTCGATTAATTTGTGAATAAGCAAAATACAACATATTGGTATAATAGAATACTATTCAGCAATAAAAAGAAATGAAGTACTGATGTGTACAACGTGAATGAACCTCAAAAACATGTTAAATGAATGCAGCCAGCTAAACAGACTACATATTGGATGATTTCATTTACATGAAATGTTCAAAAGAAGCAAATCTACAGACTTATAGAAAGCAGATTAGTGGCTGGCTGGCATTGAGATATGTGAGCAAGAGTGACTGCAAATTGGCAATGTGATGGTAATTGTGGACATGATGGCACAACTCTAAAAACTAAATTATTGAATTGTACACTTATAATAGGTGAATTTTAGAGCATGCTTCAAAGTATGCCTCAGTGAATCTATACAAATAAATAACAATGAATAAGAGGTAGGGAAATAGTGATGGAACAAGTTTAGCAATATATTGATAATTTTTACATCTGAGTATATTAGCAACCTATTGCTGCACAAGAAACTACGCTAAAATGTGTTAGCTTAAAACAAATACTTATTAATTCACAGATTCTGTGCTTTAGGAATCCAAGTGCAGTGTAGCTGGATATCTCTGGTGCAAGACTCTCATGAAGTTGCAGTCATGCTGTCAGCCAGGGCAATGATCTCATCTGAAGATTCAACTGGGATAAGATGCACTTCTAATGTCATTTATATGGCCGTTGGCAGAATTCAGTTCCTTGTGGTCTGTTGGAATGAGGATGCTCAGTGGCAGTTAGCCAGAGGCCTCCCTCAGTTTCTTGCCATGTGGACCCCTCCATCGGGAAGCTTACAATATGGCAGCTATTTCCCTCAAGGTGAGTGGGCAAGAGAGCAGGAGAGAATGCATACAAGACAAAGAAACACTTTTTTGTAACCTAATCTCAGAGTGGAATTTCATCACATCTTCTGTAAGTCTCGGGTCTAGCCCACATGCAAAGGGAAATTACAAAAGGGCATGAATACCAGGAAGCAGAGATCACTGGGGACCAACTTAGAAGCCACCTATCACAATTGGATTAGTTATATTATTCCTTCCACTTTTGTGTATATTTGAAACCTTTCATAATAAAACGTTTAAATAGAAAGAGAAAATACTATTCTATTTGCAGAAACTAAAAGCAAGAAAGCATTTCTTACATTTAACAAAATTTAGCAAGTTTTTTAGAAAGTAGCAAAATAATAAAAATGTCACTAAATGAAAAAAAAATTAACATTTATTGACTACTTACCACATCCCAGATACTGTTCTAAACATTTAACATGTTTAATTAATGTAATTTAATTCTTCCAACAATTCTCTGTGGTAGATACCACGATTATCCTAATTTTAAAAATGAGAAAACTGAGGCATGGATAGGTAAAATTGTCCAGGATCACACAGCTAGTAAATAGCAGAGCCAAAAAGTTCCATGGGTGGTAGAGAGAGAAGTGAGAGTTAGAAGGCACATGGGGAATACATCAGAAATTTAGAATGAGAAAACCTTTGTGAAGGTGATTGAGATCTTTTGTGTTGCCATGTGTTGTTTTATTAATGTTTAAATCATTACTACACAAATTGTATGTGAGGATATGTTATCATGTCAAAACAACTAAATTGACTCACTTTCCTTTGCCAAGATAGGGTCATTAGAAAGTCAAGTTTATTCTACGGTTCACCCCTTGCTCAAAACATCAGCATGGATTATCTTCTGATATGAGCAATCTTTAACAGCTAATCTAATTTTCTCATTGATATATATCATAAATGTAGCCAGCTGTTTGTTTCAATTATCCATTGTTCTTCCACCAAATCACATGCCTTCATTAGTCACTGATCAGTTGGCAAGGTAAAACTTCCTTGCCCATGCTTTATTTTCCCTGTGTCAAAGTCAAATGCTGAAAAATAACTTGTTTGGATATAATACTTTGAGTTTATATTCTCACATACATTACCTCATTTGCTCCTTCCCACAATGAGCCTGTGACAAGCTTGACAGTTTACCATTGTATGCGATATTTGGATTATGGTGATATGATGAGTATGCGGTAAACTCAAAGCTCACACCCAAACTTCTGCTTCTTAAGCCAGGACTCTTCCTTCCCTGTACCCACTATCTTCCTCCAAATGGGTTCTGGACTTTAGAATGCCAGAAATTACTAACTAGCTTAAGTAGTTGTATTAGTCCATTTTCACACTGCTATAAAGAACTACCTGAGATTGGGTGTATTAGTCCATTCTCATGCTGCTATAAAGAAACACCTGAGACTTGGTAATTTATAAAGGAAAGAGGTTTAATTGACTCACAGTTCCACTTTGTTGGGAAAGCCTCAGGAAACTTACAATTATGGCAGAAGGCAAAGGAGAAGCAGGCAGGATGGAATGAGTGCAAGCAGGGGAAATGCCAGATGCTTATAAAACCATCAGATCTCATGAGACTCGCTATCACAAGAACAGCATGGGGGAAACCTCTCCCATGATCCAATTATCTCCACCTGGTCCCACCCTTGACACATGGGGATTATGGAGATTACAAATCAAGGTGAGATTTTGGGTGGCGACACAGCCAACCCATATCACTGGGTGATTTATGAAGAAAAAAGGTTTAACTGATTCACAGGTCTGCATGGCTGGGTAGGCCTCAGAAAACTTACAATCATGGCAGAAGGCAAAGGGGAAGCAAGGCATGTCTTACATGGCAGCAGAGAGAAAGCAAGAAGGGAAGTGCCACACTTTTAAATCATCAGATCTCAAGAGAACTCATGTACTATCATGAGAACAGCATGGGTAGAAATTGCCCCCATGATCCAATTACCTCCCACCAAGTCCCTCTCCTGACACATGGGGATTATAATTCCAGATGAGATTTGGGTGGGGACACAGAGCCAAACAATATCATTCTGCCCCTGACCCTCCCAAATCTCATGTCCTTCTCACATTTCAAAACCAATCATGCATTTCCAACAGTTCCCCAAAGTCTTAACTAATTAACCCAAAATTAAACCAGAATTAACCCAAAAGTCCAAGTCCAAAGTCTCATCTGAGACAAAGCAAGTCCCTTCTGCCTATGAGCCTGTAAAATAAAATACAAATTAGTTACTTACAAGATACAACGGGGGTACAGGCATTGGGTAAATGCTCCCATTCGGAATGGGAGAAATTGGCTCAAACCAAGGGCCTACAAGCCCCATGCAAGTCTGAAACCCGGCAGGGCAGCCATTAAATCTTGAAACTCCAAAATCTCCTTTGACTCCATGTCTCACATCCAGGGCACGCTGATGCAAGACATGGTCTCCCAAGGCCTTGGGCAGCTCTACCCCTGTGGATCTGTAGGGTTAAAGCTCCTGCAGCTGCTTTCATGGGCTGGTGTTGAGTGCCTGTGGCTTTTCCAGGCACACAGTGCAAGCTCCCAGGGGATCTACCATTCTGGGGTTTCGAGAACAGTGGCCCTCTTCTCACAGCTCCACTAGGCAGTGCCCCAGTGGGAACTCTGGGTGGGGGTTTCAACCCCACATTTCCCCTCTGCATTGCCCTAGCAGAGGTTCTTCATGAGGGCTCTGCCCCTGCAGCAGACTTCTGCCTGGACATCGAGGCATTTCCATACATCCTTTGAAATCTAGGTGGAGGTTCCCAAAGCTCAACTCTTGTCTTCTTTGCACCTGCAGGCCCAACACCATGTGGAAGCCACCAAGGCTTGGGGCTCGTACCCTCTGAAGCAATGGCCTGAGCTGTACCTTGGCCCCTTTTAGCCATGGCTGGAGCTGAAGCAGCTGGGATGCAGGATGCCATGTTGTGAGGCTGTGCAGAGCAGTGGGGCAGTAGGCCTGGCCCACAAAACCATTTTTCCCTCCTCGGCCTCCAGGCCTGTGATGGGAGGGGCTGCTGTGAAGATCTCTGACATGCCCTGGAAACATTTTCCCCATTGTTTTGGCATTAACATTCAGCTTCTCCTTACTCATGCAAATTTCTGCAGCTGGCAGCTTGAATTTCTCCCCAGAAAGTGGGTTTTTATTTTCTATCACATGGTGAGACTGCAAATTTTCCCAACCTTTACACTCCGCTTCCCTTTTAAACATAAGTTTCAATTTCAGACTATCTCTGTGAACACATATGAGCATACAATTTTAGAAACAGCCAGGTCACATCTTGAATGCTTTGTTGCTTAGAAATTTCTTCTGCCAGATACCCTCAATCATCTCTCTCAAGTTCAATGTTCCACAGATTTCTAGGGCAGGGGCAAAATGCTGCCGGTCTCTTTGTAAAGCATAGAAAGAATGACCTTTGCTCCAGTTCCCAGTAAGGTCCTCATCTCCACCTGAGACCACCTCAGCCCAGACTTCATTGTCCATATCACTATTTTTGATCATATAAGCATTTTGATCAAAACCATTCAACATGTCTCTAGAAAGTTCCAAATTTTCCCACATCTTCCTGTCTTCTTCTGAGCTCTCCAAATTGTTCCAACCTCTGCCCATTACCCAGTTCCAAGCTACTTCCACATTTTCAGTTATCTTTCTAGCAGTGCCCCAAACTCCTGGTACCAATTTTCTCTATTTGTCTGTTTTCACACTGTTATGAAAAACTACATAAGACATGGTAATTTATGAAGAAAAAAGGTTTAACTGACTCACATTTCCATTTGGCTGGGAGGTCTCAAAACTTAGAATCACAGTGGAAGGCAAAGGAGAAGCAAGACATGTCTTACATGGCAGCAGGAGAGCGAGTGAGCAAGAAGTGCCAAACTTTTAAACCATCAGATCTCATGAGAACTCACTCAGTGTTACAAGAACAGCATGGGGGAAATCACCCCCATGATCCAAACACCTCCCACCAGGTCCCTCCTCTGACACATGGGGATTACAATTTGAGATGAGATTTGGGTGGGGACAGAGACAAACCATATCAGTAGTTAAACATAATTTTGAAAAAGAAAACAGGAATTGTACATTATGTAAAATAAGGTTCTATGAGGCTATAAAAGAGACGAAAATGATGAGGAAAGGAAATTATAATCAGTAAAACAGAATTATGAAATATGACTGAGAGATAAAGACACTGTAATTCAGAGATAAAGAGACTTGTATTTTACTAAGTTCCCCCAAAATACACAATTAATACTGCAAGTTTGTGCACAGCAAACCATAAAGTCACCTAGAAGCTTTCACTTTCAGTCAATGAATGTAGTAAATACATTTTTGCCAGGAAAAAAAAAAATGCTGAACAGATAACTCCTTATCTATTTACCACTCACTATCTATGTGGCACCCACAGACTTTTTTGTAAGATGATGTCCCTCTGTCAATAACTAATTGGTTCAATACTGGGTGCCCCAAGCTGGTTCAATAGTGGGTATTCTGTTTCTCAGAAATTTGAAATTGGAACTAAAGGATTTCAATTTCAAGCTAAAATGGACACTTCAACAGAGAGATATAATCTTGGAAACCACAGAGCAGCCATATTTTTTACCATGTGATCTGGGGATCTGGGAAAACCTGTCTATTCAAAGAAAATGGAAAGGATAAGCAAAGAGAAGCAGTGATGAGAAATAAGAATTTTTTGAAAGTGCTCCAATCCCTGGTCCCAGTTTCATTAAATTTTTTTCTGTCCTTGAAACTTTTTGAATCTTAAACTAGCTTAACTTTGTTTCTGTCATTTGTAGCCCAAGACTCAATTAATATATTACTCAAAGGCATATTAGGCATATAATAAATATGAACTAGAATTATAGCCAGAACTTATTTTCATAATCTTTTGCAGGGATGAGTCTATATCTTTCTCATGTTTAAATTTTTCTGAATAATCATAAAAAATACCTACCCAAGAGCAAATATTTAGAAAGTTCTCTGCAACATAATGTTAAGTAAAAAAATACCCTAAGGCATACAACAGTGTATACAGAATAAGATCTCTTTTGTCTAATAATAAAAGGTTAGATATTAAACCATTTTTTCTGGAACAGTATACAGAAACTATAAAGTATTTTGCCTTAGGAGGATAGAGAACAAAATTCTCTACCTTCATGTGCCGTTTTATTTGTCTAATAATGTACTTTTAAAAGGAATATTAATAAGAGTTACCTGGATTATACATTTTTTAATGTTTTATACATTTTTCTGTACTAAAAATCTATAATGATTACTTTTTAAAAGTATCAAAAAGAAACTATTTTTAACAAACAGCTAAACAAAACTATTTAATATGCATAAGCCCAGAAGAAAACCCTTTATGTAGAAGAGGCACCCAAATGTAAAGAAAACACCCCAAGGCTACAAGACTATTTGAGCAATTATCTTCTTACTTGGCCTAAATCTCTTCCAGGCTCACCAGCTCTTTTTCAACTGCACTTCAATCATTGGGTTAATTTGTACTTCACTTACACAGTAAAGTCTGAGATTCCTGTGGCTCTTTCTTACTCTTCCTAAAGGAAGAAAGGAAGGAAGGAAAGAAAAAAAGAAAAACAAATAAGAAGACAGGCTGAATTGTCAGTCATAAAGAGAGGTTTGTAGTAGACCAAATGAATGTGAGTAACTAATACATGAACTATACTCCACCAATATAAAACATAATACCTTCAGTCTATTTGACCAAAAAATGAACAGTTATGAATTGCTATGTTTTTAAGCCATATGTGTGTGACCACATAAAGCCATATAATGACAGCAATCTGCTGTGCCAAATTTCTTTAGGTCCATGATTATACAAAAGAATATTTTCTTGCAGTAAATTCATGTGTGCGATTCATTCATGCTATTTTACTTAGAATTTCTCTTTTCTGAGATAGCCTCCTGGGACATGCATCTCATTTTCATGAGGGTCCCTGAGAGACTTGAGCATACAGTATTTACTTCACTACAATATCAACAACATATTGCAGAACATTTCATCTAAAATAATAATAGAAAATGTTGAGCCATCTTTCCGTTTGGAAAATTATATCTGGAAGAATGTGATGTCTGACGAAAGCCACATTGCTTAAACACATTGTGCCATCTCAGCTTGCTTTGGGAATTGTCTTAGTCCGTTTTCTGCTGCTATAAGAGAATATCACAGACTGGGTGATTTATAAAGAACAGAAGTTTATTCAGCTCAAGGTTCTGGAGGCTGAGAAGTCCAAGAGCATGGTGTTGGAATCTGGTGAGGGTCATCTCATGGCAGAAGACACCATGTGGCAAGGAAATACATGAGAAACAGAGAGAAAATGGGGACTAAACTTACCCTTTTATCACAAGTCTATTCCCATGATAATAGCATTAATCCATTCTTGAGGGCAGAGCCCTCACAATATAATCACCTCTTAAAGGCCTCACCTCCCAATATCATTACATTGGCAATTAAACTTCAACATGAGTTTTGGAGAGGACATTCAAACACTAGCAGAAATTTAAAGAGAAATACACACACACACATATAACATAAATAATGTTAAATAATGGATGGAAGGATAAAGACAAGTAAAAAATTATACAATAAGGACAAAAAAGTTAATGAACGCCTACATAAAGTACCTGGCACAGAGTAAACACGAGCACCATCAGGTTAGCTGGCAACCTGGCTTGCCCAACAATAAAACAACTGGATTTGTATATAAGGAAAAATTTTCTACAATGGAGACTGTTAGTGAAATCACTGTCATAAACCAAATTCTGTTAAGTTATTCTCATGAATACTTCCTTAGTGGCACTGTCGGTTAATCATCTGACCTGCCATGGTTAACACAAATATAAGGTTATATTATTCAGGTTCTCCAGAGAATCAGAACCAATAGGTGTACACACACACACACACACACACACACACACACACACACACAGATTCTCTCTCTCGATATATATATCGATATATAGATTTATGTCTATATAGATCTCATATATAGAACTATAGATCTAAAAAGAGATTTATGTGTATGTATATACACACATATAAATATCTTTATATATGTAGATGTATATATCTAGATATATTAATTTACATGTATGTATACACATATAAATATATGTATAGACATATTTTTATATATATTTATGTGTGTATAAAGATATATGTATCTATATATCTTATATATTACTATAAATCTATATGTATATGTGTGTGTATATATATACACGTACATATATATATCTCTTATATGTATCTATAGAACTATAGCTCTAAAAAGAGACAGAGAGAGAGAGGAAGAGATTTATTATAAGGTATTGGCTCATGTAATTATGAAAGCTGAGAAGTCCCATAATCTGCTGTCTGCAAGCTGGAGACCCAAGAAAGCAAGTGGATTAGTTTGAAGGCTTAAGAGCCAGAGAGCCAGTGGTGTAGATTCCAGTCCAAGTCTCAATGCCTGAGAATTAGGAGTGCTGAGGGCAGGAGAAGATTTATGTTCCAGCTCCAGCAGACAGGCAGAGAGGAGGAATTCTGCTTTCACATTTTTGTTCTATTAAGGCCTCCAACACATTGCGGGGAGGGCAATGTGCTTTACTCCGTTTACAAATTCAAATGCTAATCTCTTCTGGAAACACTCTCACGGACACACCCAGAAATAATGTTTAACTAGATATATGGGCATGAAATTCACTATCACAGAGGACAATAAAGGAAGATTATTCATTTACCTGTTATGTGATTCATGTTTTTCATTCAGCCATGAGAATATCTACCAGCTAACAAATGAAAACTATATATCATATAAGTGCTAGAAGGTAATCCATAAAGCTTCACTGGTAATTGGTAATAATAATCTATAGTAATAAGAGTGTCTAATATTCAGAAACATTTTCCTTTCCCAAAGGATTATTTTCACTGGCCACCACGGACTGAGATTTTCAAGTTTGGAAGCATTATAACCATGATTGAGCTGTTAAATAAATGCATGCTCTCTGCCAGGTATTTAACATGTTTACCTTATTTAATCTTCACTTTAACTTCATAAGGTATGCTTTTCTATTTTTTATTCCTATTTTGATTTTTGATTTTACAAATAAGAAATCTTGAGTACAGAGAGATTAAATAACTTGTTCAAGAACACAGAACTACTAAGTGCCATATGGCACCAGGGTCAGAACTCTGGCAGGTTAGCTCCAGAGTCTGGGCTTGTAACTGCTACACTAAAACATCAGAGCAAAGGTATAGAAAAAAAAGAAAAATAAGTTCCAGTATTTTGGTTTACTAGACACAAGACAGAATGTTACAAATATACAGCCAAATGTACAAATTACTTTGATTTGATTTTTATTGCTATCTTTTACATTTAAAAAAGATAGTGCCATTTCCTACCATAAAAAGGCCACTACCTTTAAACTATTTGTCCAAGGGTAGTACATTCATGCTAATCCACCAACATTCTCTCATTTGCAATCAAAATAAAGCACATTTGAGATGGTTCTCCTTGGTCAGAAATTGAATTTATAGTCACAAACAAAAGCTAATTGGATCATTTATTGTTTCTAAATAAGTTAAACTGCCACAAATATTAAATGAGTGTATTGTATGAAGTGTGTAAGCAAACATCCACCCACAAAAGAATTATACTTCACAAATCTATTATAATTGATGGTTAGATTCCGTAGGCTAACTACTGAGCTAGTGAGAACCTTTACATATGCTTGTAATGAAAAAGAGCAGAAAGCAGTAGTTAAAATCTTAGTAATGAAACAACAATAACAAAAATAATTGCATTTAAAATGAGCAGAAAAAGCTTTTATCTCAAATACATAATACTTGAAGAAAAAGAGGTTTAACAGGAGAAAGATGAGGAAGTAGAATGGGACATTCAGAGATACCAGAATGGTCATTTCAGGCATTTTTAAGAATCTTGAAGATTAGGTTCAACCATTCTGTAATTTTAGAGATTAAAGAATTCACCTCTGTTTATTAATATGGAAACTGAGGGTCATGATTCTTCATTATATCTAATTTCACTTCCAAACAATGTGTTGCTATCAAGAGCATGTGAACTGGTTTGGTGTAGGAAGAGGGTTGTTGGGATGGGGGTTAGAATAATGGTTTAGGAATGACAGCAGGGAGAGCGACTATGCACCTAGCATATAAACGGGCAAATAACAAAGTCATATTGTGGAAAACTAATTTTTGTTGCTCCTGCTGTATTTTTTGAGTCTGGGATAAAAATGTACTATTCTTCATTTAATCTTCTATTTTAAAATTAAAGACTTATATCCCAGCACGTACAATATAGCCTTCCAGAGCAGACTCTGGAACCAACTGCCCAGATTCAAATCATGATTCCACCATTTATTAGCTATGTGGCCTTTATCTTCCTAGTTATCTTTCTGTATCTTACTTAGTCTCCTTATCTGTAAAAGAGTGGGATAAAATAGTATTATGAGAATTATTTTAAGGGCTGTGTTAACACATGTAAATCACTTGCAATAGCACCTACAATATTTTAATTGCTTAAAAAATTGCCTTTAGTTATTATTACTATTTAATATTACTGCCATTAATACTACCATATGACTAGTCCTAACCATCTATCATCTGAGACATACTTTCTAATGATTCTGAATAGCTCCAAATAACACTTTGTATAATCCACAGTTTAACTTTTTGTACATACTCACTGTTTTCAAGTATCAAACTTCAAAATATCAAAGCAAAGTATCTAGAGGAGTCATTTCTATTATTAACTGAAAACAAATTAGACAACAATAACCTGCCTACTTGGCAAAAATTAAAGAAATAAAGATTACATTAAAATTACTCAAGTGCTGATGACTATAAACACCTGGATCTTTAGAATATTAGGTGGCTGAATTTTTTACTTTTTCAATGAAATTCACCCTTCAAAGTAATTTTCCCAGTTTTCTCTAAATCATTCCTTTCAAATTTCATAGAAACTAAGAAACAACACAAAACTTCAATTGAACAATTGTTCAATATGAACAAAATTTTTATTTTCCACTATTTACTATATCAAAACTATCAATCAATACATCCTATCAACTTTTCTCCATGGTTAACACTTAAACTGTGTGTGAATTTCAAAGTCCACTCATGATTTTTTTTTTAAAAAAAAACTTGCTTAACAAATGAACAATAAATGAGTTACCTCAATTTGGAAAAAGGGTTTATAAAAAGCCTACAGCAAGTACCATACTTATTGGTAAAATATTACAGGCTTTCACCCTAAAATCAGGAAAAAAATGTCATTATTCACTGGTGATGTGATCATGTGTGTAGAAAAGCCAAAACAATTAATAGATACACTTTTAAAAGTAATAAGTGAAGTAGCAAGGCCACTGTATACAAGGTCAAGATTCAAAATTCAAATTGTATTCCTATATGTCACCAATATAATTTGATAGTATTATGTTACAGGTTCTACTGTGTCCCCTCAAAATTCATATGTTGAAGTTCTAAACTCCAGTACCTCAGATGGTGACTGTATTTGGAGATAAGACCTTTAAAGTGGTATTTATGTAAAATTAAGTCACATGTGTGGGCTCTTATCCAATATGTCCGGTATCCTTATAATTATGAAGAGGAGATTATAACACAGACATTGTTCGCAGATACAAAGGAACACTGTTTAAAGACTTAGGGAGAAGAGGGTTATCTACAAGTTAAGAAGAGAGGCCTCAGAATGAAACCAATCCTACAGAAAACTTGATCTTGGACGCTCCAGAAGTGTGAGGAAATAAATTTGTTATCTGAGCCACTCAGTTTGTGGTACTTTGTTATGGTAGCCCTAGCAAATAATACATACCGGCACTAGCATCAAAAAACACTCAGACATAATTTTAAAGACACATGTGCATGACTTCTACACAGGAAATGCCAAAATATTATACAAAGGAAATAAAGAAGGCCCAAATAAATGGAGGAATGTACTAGATCCACAGACAGAAGACTCAATATTCTGATGATGTCAATTCTCAAATGAATCTATAGATTCAGTATAATCCCGCTCAAAATCCCAGCAGATTATTTTTGTAGAAACTGGCAACTTGATCCTAATAGTTATGGCACTCTTAAAAAGGAATTACATTGGAGAAATTACACTACCAGACAGCAAGATTTATTATAAAGCTGCACTAATTTAAAAAGTTTTCTAATGGCCTAAGAAGAAACAAATTAACTTATGGAATAGAATAAAGAGTTCAGAAACAGATCCACACATATATAGTAACTTGATTTATGACAAAGATGAGAACATGGTATAGTGGAATCTCTTCAATATATGATACTGAGACAAATGGATATCCCTATGGGGAAAAAAATGAATCCTTACTCTTAGCTCACATCATACACAAATCAATTTCAAGTATATATCAAATGTGTAAGTAAACAATAGCTTCTAAAAGATAGTACAGGAGAGTATCTTCATGACTTTGTGATACAGAAAGATTCCTTAAACACAGTATAAAATGCCTTATCTAATTACTTAGAAAAAATTGATAACTTGAATTTATTTTTCTAACCAAAATAAAAGATATTTACAATACACGTATCTGAAAAAGGACTTGTATTAAAAATATAAAAATCTGGCCAGGCACAGTGACTAACGCCTATAATCCCAGCACTTTGGGAGGCCGAGGCGGGTGAATCACCTGAGGTCAGGAGTTTGAGGACAGTTTGACCAACATGGTGGAACCTGTTTCTACTAAAAATAGAAAAAATTAGCCAGGCATGGTGGCGGGCACCTGCAATCCCAGCTACTTGGGAGGTTGAGGCAGGAGAATCGCTAGAACCCGGGAGGCGGAGGTTGCAGTGAGCTGAAATTGGGCTATTGCACTCCGGCCTAGGCAACAAGACGAAAGTTCCATCTCAAAAAAAAAAAAATATATATATATATATATATATATCCTCTACCAATGAATATGAGAGAGATAAAGAGAACCAAATAGAAAAATGAGCAACAGACTTGACCAGGGATGACTCAGAAAAAATATGAAAATGGTCAGTAAACATGTGAAAAAAATTTTCAATCTCATCAGAGAAATGCAAATTAAAACCACAATGCATAACAGTACATAACACCAGAAGGACTTACTTCCTACTTCTCCAGCCATTCACATAATCACTCTCAACTTTTACTCTGGGCACTGCAGCAACACTGGCTTTCTCTCAGCCTAATACTACCCACCAAGCTGCTCTCCCACCTGCCAGAGGTCTTTGCTTATGACTGTCTCTCAGACTGAAACTCTTTCTGGAACTTATTCAGATGCTGCCTGTTTGGAGAAACCTCTTACACTGAAGCCCCTCTTTAAGAAAGGCTTTCCTAAACTTTAATCAGTTTAAATTCATTGTCATAGCCTCCTGTACTTTTCCTTTAGAGCATATTTCATAGCTGCAATTTTATGTTTTAGATAGTTTATTTGATTAATGTCTGTAGATACTAATAGCTAATTATATAATTAATTAGTAATTATCAGACTAATTACTACGCTCCAAGCAGATGCTCACAAACAGTGCATCTCTTTTTGCTCCCCATTACATTCTTAGAAATGGTCATTGGGCCTGTCAAACAATAAGTAGTCAACAAATATTTGTTAAATAAATTAATATGAGAAATGGGTATTAGTGAACTTATTTTTAAAGTGAAATTTTTATTTGTCATATTGCTCAAGAATAAATTCCTAACTAGTTACCCATTCTGGAAACTAGCTTTAACACCAACATATAAAGTTATACAGCAGAGTTAGAATTGGCTCTGTTCTCTAAAATGTGTTCCTTTTTCATACAACAAGTTTCCTTGCCCTAAAAGGGTTAACCATAAGTTTTTAAAAATAGCCATATCCATAGTCGGAAGTTGAGAAAGCAAGAGTTCTATAACATGGTTGATTCACGACAAGTAAAAATATACCCTCTTTTAATCAGTCTCTGTATTATTGGGGAAGAAAAGGAAAAGAAAAAGACCACTTACTCTGTGAATCGATAAAAATGTCAAACAACCCTCAGGAAAATGGAGAGAAAAGAGGATGGTCCAAAATCATAGCTAAAAGTAATAAAACCAAGACACAAAAATAATCTAATTCAAATTTGTTTAGTTATTATCCAATGTCATTCCAAAACCATCTCCTAAAAGCAACAGATACTTAAAAGACAATATTCTACTAACATTATCCAATAGTGTAAAAATAACGTAAGTACAAAAGTTTAGAAACACCAAATACATGAATTGATGATAACAAACCGAAAGATTCCATCTGTTAAAATAGTCGGTTATTGTTGACTCTTATTGAGCTACACTCTTCTTTTTTCAATACTAGAAGGAAGACTATGCAATATTAGTTAATCTGCAAGCCATCCCCTTTACTTTCAATAGGTTGAGCAGACTATTATGCACAGCACTATGCAAGTTCATATTTTAATAGTTGGCACCTTCTCTCCATTGAGTATAGAGACTTCCCTCAGTTCTGAAATTAAAAAACCCACAACCTTAATACTATCTCAAATGTTTCTCACCATGTCCCTGAGTGCCAGCCCTCAGAAAGGCTTGCTGTGAAACAGATCTAGAATGATAAAATGCTTAAAAACAACAACAGTATAATATTTCAGGTCCCTTGTTTATAACAAGTCATCAGCTTATACTGGTACTAGTTCTTACTCCCCTATCTCTCCTTCACTGTTTCCTCCTTACTGTCAGTTTTAAAAATTAAATCACTTCTTGGGACAGAAAAATAAAGAATTCTCTTGTTCCTTTATTACCATAAAAAACAGATTTTTGCACAGATCATCACGTGGTTATCAAAGCATAAAGTTAAGGATATCCAGGATTCTTCCACTTCTTCCCCTCACCCCATCCCACACACCTCCCCCACTTCCCAGAAAGTTAAGAAATGGCCACCAGTGAGAAGTGTACATGCGTCCTTGTTGATGGGAATGGGAATAGACATATAATCCTTACTGATTCAAATATAATTCTAAACAACAGTCACGACCTTATATATTGTAACTTCTTCACAATGCCAAGTCTAATTACATTTTACCAATCCAAATAATGCAGCCCAAGTTATAAGTATTTCCTTTTAGTCTCTATTCATATAGCTTTTTTTACGTAGATGCCGTCAAAGTGTATATATAATTTTGTATCTTAAACCGGGTGCAGCTGCTCAAGTCGGTAATCCCAGCTACTTGGGAGGCTGAGGTAGGAGAATTACTTGATGCCAGGACTTTGAGAACAGCCTGAGCAACACAGCAAGGCCTCATCTCTTAAAAAAAAAAAAAAAAAAAAAAAGTATCCCGTTATATATGTTAATATATAGGCCTTAGAATGTACTTAAGACTCCACAAGATTCCTTTTAATGGGATAATTAGCCATTCCCACCATACTGCAACCTCCTAGAGTAGTGAGTTCCAGTAGCTGTTACTCCTTGAGAAAGCCAGTCTATACTTTTCCATTTTTCTAAATTTGTCTCTTGACTGGTCTAGAACACCAGATATTAAATAAACTTGTCCCTACTACTTATATTTCTTTCCACTTCCCTTTGCTCTTGACAAAGTTTCACTTGAGAAGTTATGACTAGAACCAAATAAATTATTCTAAGGTCAGGACTTTCAGAACTTCAGAAAGGAGGGATTCTTCCTTCCTTCTTTCCCCCCAGGTTCTTTTTCTGATGATTATGAGAGTTAATTAATCTTTTGGTTACAAATGCATTATTGGGCTGGTATTTGTATCTCCTCTGTCCTAGTCTACCAAATTTGGGGCAAGTACGAATTTTATTCATTACACAGAATACAGAAATATCTCCATTCCCTATCCCACTCCTATGGAAATCTGGGGAAAGGTTTAGGCATGAAATAGGAATTTTTCCACTGTGTTTTGGGGAAAGGAGGAAGATAATGAGGGAAGAATTAAAAAAGATGGTTCCCTAGCTATTGCTATAGAGGGTCCAAGCCCCTAATGTCAACAGCATGCTTGTTATAACCAAAATCATTAGGACACCAACAAATAAACTTAAGTATTAAGGGAAATACTAGTTCCAGCAGCTAAGAGAAATAAGATTCATGGATCTATCAGACACTTACTTTATCGCTTTCTGGCCACTGTGTTTGGCAGGCCTGCCAGTTGGGAATAGGTAGAGGTATCATGCTGGCAAGCTTCCCATTTAACTCAGGAAGTAACTTGCTAATAGCGCAGCCAGGCCAGTAGAAGCAAGAATGAGGTTCCTGGCAGTACCATTCCCGTAACAACCAGTTTGCTAAAGAAATCATCCAGTCTTCCAGGTGTCGACACAGACTGTGTTGATGTGGTTTTCCACAGTGCAAAGAGGTCAAGAAGTTGATGAGGTAAGAGGTGCAGCTTATGATCTTAAAGGAGGTGTCATATTTTTCTAAGTTTACTCCTATCATGAATGAGGAATATTTTGGTCCAAACCTTTAAGTAAGCCCTCCATTTATCCAAGATAATAAATATATCAGTCCATGCTACAATATAATCAGTATCATAATCACTCTATATAATATTGATAGGATCTCACTTCAGGGAAATAGTGATGGGCTCTCCTTTGATCAGAAGCTTCCTGTTCTAAGTCTTGAACCTTATACTTTTCACAAGCGGAATCACGCTGATACAGTCAATGAATGGGTTGTTGATGACTATACTCTCGCCTTGCAAATGTTTTCAGCAGACTAACAAGGAGCTCAATATGATCCAAGTCAATTTAATTTGACATTCACTACCTTTTCTCAGAACTGCATCTGCCTGGTGATCAAGGAGAATGAGAGCACTAGGGCTATTTTTAAAAACAAGTATACATTGACTCAAGAATCCTTTTTGTGATTTGAATAATAACACAACCTATTTTTCTACAAGCAGTATGGGTTATTTTACCATATACTTGTTGACATGAAAGCTAAACTACTTTTTTGTTCACTGGCATTTATTTATTCATTTGACAAATAACAGGGCTACCCAAATATGGGCAAGACAACATGGCCACTCACGTGATATCTTCCATAATTTTGTTTCTATTAGAAACACACTACAAGTCAGCAGATTTTAGTATGTGTTCCCTTTTTGTGATAATTATTCTGTTTTGTTGTTGTTGTTGTTGTTTTTGAGATAGAGTCTCACTCTGTCGCAGTGGCATAATCTTGGCTCACTGCAACCTCTGCCTCCCAGGTTCTCCCTCCTGAGTAGCTGGGATTACAGGCACCTGCCACCACGCCCAGCTAATTTTTGTATTTTTAGTAGAGATGGGGTTTCACCATGTTGGCTAGGCTGGTCTTGAATTCCTGACCTCAGATGATCTACCCACCTCAGCCTCCCAAAGTGCTGGGACTACAGGCGTGAGCCACCGTGCCCGGCCAATAATTAATTTTTAACATTAAAAGAATGGAACTATTTGATTATATATTTTATGAATTTCTCATTTCAGAAGATTGTTCATTTACTTCTTCCCTTTTTCCCATCTCATCGAAATTTCTCTTTTCACAATATATTTCCCCTAATATCATAATGACAATCAGTAATAATAAGATACAGAAAAACATTAGAGACTTACTTTCACATTTATAGCACTTTCTATTAAAAATAATCTCTCTTATTAATATCTTGTTTCTTTCCTCTTTAGCAAAGTGATGCTCATGAATACCAGAGCAGTCCTCTTGTTAGATGAGTTTAGCTTAGTCAGACATTCAAGTAGTTCCCCAGACTGCCGACATGGGATCAACTTCTGACAAGTATAACTTTTTCTAGGAATCTTCATTATGTTTCCATAAAAGATGAAAACCACAGAAAAACTAATTGCATATTACAACTTTTCTTCAACTTCCTGGTAATAAAGGCTTGGTCTCTGTTATACAAAGAACTTAAAGAAAAATTTTAGGAGTCATTGAGTTTATTTGAGTATTGGAAAGTCAGTACAGTTATTTGTTTCTTTGTTTTTTAATAAGTAGGGCAAATATGTTACTAAAAAGTTAACCATAAAACAAAAATCTGGTCATATTTTTGTTCATTAAGAAACTTCAGAAACTTAAAATATGATATTTAATAATTATTACCTTTCTAGAGAAAATGTAGAAGGTCATTCTGATTTTCATTTTGTTCATGTACTTTTAAGTGTTGCTATATTTTAAAATGGTTCCCACAGTTTTTCTAAGCAGGGTAAAAAGGACTACTTAATGGATCAGAGCAGTTCTCAACCCTGAACTTAACTCATCCAATTTAAGTTTAGCACATACCATTCCCAAGGGAAGTTCAATTTTTATCACCTAGGTAGTAGATGTTAGCAACTTGACTTAAATCTCTGTGATAAATGACCTAGAATTATGATGCTTTAGTTTTTCTAACTGGAAAACAATAAAATTGATGGCTTAAAAATGCTCAGAATATGGGGAAAAATAAAACTTATTTCTTCAACATCTGTTTATACAAGTTGATCCTTAATTTTTACTGCTATTCTGGACTTCTCTATATTTATAATTAAGATGTGGCCATTATTACATCGGCACCCAGACATCACAGGAATATGTACATTGTAAATGAAGTACTCTGAGTTGAAAATTTTTGAAGTTGGGAGATGGCTACTGAGGATTCATAATGCTATTCTATTCTCCTTTTATAAGTGTTAAAATTTTCTCAAAGGCTAAAAAAAGAAAAAAGAAAGAAAGAAAAAATAAGCAAAGTGAGATAAAACAAAACAAAATACCACAAGAATCACTACATTACTACTGCCAACCACTGTTGCCCCATTGACAAATAATCTCCCATTCAGAGTTCTGTTTGTTTTATATTGATGAATCTAAACTATAAGCATTCCACTTCTCATCAATTAAAGAATAGTAAGTAGTTAACACTGGAGCATTTATTAATGCTTTGTAATATATATTAACATGAACCAAGTGGTAGTATTTTAAAGATTATTCTTAATAATTAAAACAGAAAATAGCTTTTTAAATTACATACAGAAAAACATTTAAAGAGGAATATCTGAAAAATCTAAAAAAGCTAACTGGAGTAATTCTTGAAGCAACTTATATGCAATAAAGAAAAATTGCAACAATATGTTACACAGTTATTTAACTTATTTG
Source organism: Homo sapiens (assembly GCF_000001405.40). Lineage (NCBI taxonomy): Eukaryota > Metazoa > Chordata > Mammalia > Primates > Hominidae > Homo > Homo sapiens. The sequence goes on from NC_000015.10 coordinate 35,502,764, forward strand.
TTAAGATCTCACTTTGTTTTCAATTCATTTAAGTAGGAACCTAGATGCTTACTTCTACTTAGCACAATTATTAATACTAGAGTGGGAGGACTATTGGATTCTATGTATTGTTTTCTGGCATGGTATTTTTTCATCACTGATTATATATATTTATATATAATTATATATATAAATATATATATACACACACACATACACACACACCAGTGTGCCTGGCCTCACTGATATATTTAAGTGACCATCATAAAGTGACTGCATCATTTGTTATTTCTTGTCCAGAAAAAAGTCCTTGAACAGCTGTATTTATTTAAATTCATATTAATTTTGTATCCTCCCCTCTGAAATATGGAAGGTTAGTTCTTATAGAAATTTAATTTAGCAACTGTTGCCTGCTATGATTCCTAGAATGCTTTATTTATATATTCCATAATAAAATATACTGTTACATACCTTTGTTATAAGTAAATAAGTAATCTGCTTCCTAAAAAGTGATCTCACCTACCAAACATAATTACTTTACATTTCAATTTAACTGAAGTTAAATTTTAAAAAGACCATCCCCTTTTCACATTTCTGATTTCTAACCACACCTGGACTCAGGGCAGTTTGACAACCCTCAGTCCCCTTTTCGTTGCTCTTAAAAGATCAGTCTGAATATTTAAAATTCTCCTCAAAGCACTTCATTACTTCCCTCACCTCCAAACATATGAGGCAAATGATCTTGCCTCCAAGACCATGGAGAAAAACAGCAGCTGTAAGATTAACAGTCCTTTATCATTCCATTTCTCATTTTTAAACATACCCTTATTCTTCTATTCAGAGCTGACCCACTGTGCTCTTCATCCCATCATTTCCAAATCTTCCTGGATCTTGTTCAATTGATTGTTCCTTTTCTAACCTGTATCTTCAATAACTTTTTCTATTTCTTAATTTATACACATATCTAAATGTCTCTCATCTTGAAACACTATATGACAAGAATACTAAATTGACTCATTCAATCTCACAGCAATTCTACGAGGTAGGCTATTTTAATCTCCATTTTATAGAAGAGGAAACAAAGGCACAGAGAGGTAAAGTAACTTGTCCAAAGTTACAAAGCTAGTAAGTGGCAGCTGGGGAACCAGGTGCCAGAAAGCAAGTTATTTTCCGCTACGAAATACTTAATCCCCAGGAAAGCTTTTCACATGACTTTGATTATTAATTATATGCTGATGATCTCTACCATCAATTTATCCAGTCTTGATTTAACCCTTTTTAGTGTCACTATCTTCTATTCTGAGATAACTTAATTTCAAGATCTCAAAAGACCTAGCCCCTATCTCTCCTCTCTCTGTACCTCCTACACAGTACTACAAAATACAAATCTATCCATTTTGCTTCTTTACTTTCAAACCTTCAAAAACTCCCCATTACTTACAGAATGGGGTCTCCAAACTCCTCAGCAAGGCACACAAGGCTCTTCACAACCTGCCCCCAAATTACCTTCTCACTCCTACCTCCTGCCACTACTTATATATATCATCTAGTCACACCAAATTATGAGAGGTATGTGCCATGTTTTGTCCCATCAATATATTCCATATAGAATGTTCTCTCAGTTTGGAAAGTCATCTTCTCACTCTTGATGAATCATCATTCATCTGTTTCTACAACTGCCCATCCTGCTCCATCCCCAGGTAAAACTGATCTCTTTCTCTTCTTCTGTATTTTCACAACATTTGTTTAAAAAAAAAAAAACCTCTATCATAACAATATAATATTGTACTGTTACTCATAATCTAGACTATGAGCTCTAATAAATCTGGGTCATTCTTTTATTGATAGTTATATCCCATACCCAGAACAGGGCACTGACTCAGAACACATTTGATGAATGAATGGATGCAGCTCTTCTTTAATATTCAAAATCAATATGCCCTGGAAATGGAAAGATAAATTAATGCATCACAGGAGACATCATAATCTTAATTAATCACTGTTTGCCTATGAAATGCCTCAACACTTAGCAATATACAAAGATATTTCTGTTTAAATATTAGTACAAGTATAGATCCTCTTTCTTGAAGTGCCAGTGAACAAAGAACTCTAGCCTACACAAGCAATCTTTGAGGAAATAATAAAACATATCAAAGTAAAAAAAGGTCCGAAATATTAGGCCTACTACCAAGCCACAAGACTTAAGCATGAATAGCCATCAAATTATAAATATTACCAGGTATCCACATGAACCAAACAGTGAAGTGTCAACCTGAATAGTTTCCCCAGCTACATTAATTCCTACATGTATAAAATATTTGGCACTGGTATGACATAGCCATTTACCAAATGGTTTATCAAATTACATTTACAAATCACAAAGGCATCAGCTTGCATGTTCAACTGCGTATAAGTGTTAGGTAGATTGAAGCTGTTTCAGCTTCAAGTGTGGGAAGTGCATTGCTCAGTTTTGCTTGTAAGTGTAAAGATAAACTGGATTAACTAGATCTTTAAAGAAAAATGCAACCAGAAAGCAGTGTGATTTCTACTATGCTTTAAATGGTTGTTTCCTTTGCAGGCACTTCCTCTTAACTCTATTGAGAAAAAAAAAATACACACTTTACAAAATAAGATGATGAGAGGAATGCAAAGCAGCACAGAAGAGAGTAATGATGAAATACCCCAGCAGTTTGGTTACTTAAGCTACAATAAGGTCAATTAAATTTGTCTTATTTCTTTAAAAACTGTTGAATGTCTCATTGAAAGTTTTTTTTCTAATTTATATTAAACTCCTCATATCAACATTCTCTGGTTGCATTTAATAATATGAGTGGCCTTGAGTGATTCTGATCCTGAAGTTACCGTCTTGCTTATACTCTAAGTTCACACATGGGCTGGTCTAAAGTTCAGGGTTGAAAATAATTCAACTTTTAATACGTGTAATGAAAAATTACACCTAAGTCAGTCACCAGAACACAAAAGCAACATTAATATTGCTGTTGTAGACTAAACAAAAGCAGGAGTCATCAGTCTTTAAAACTTTTACTGTTTTTCTAGCCTCAAACAGGAAAAGCATTTTGGAAATATAGGGCTCATTAAAGAAGCCCTTTAAACTACTGTTGAAAATCAAGATTTTTTGCCTTATAGGTGGAACTCTAAGCAGAGAGATTTAATGACCATTTTTATTTACACTTGTCAGTATTTTAAAATTTTATACTCTAAAGAGAACAGCTGACATCTGACATTGCAAAGTTTGACACTGCAAAGTTCACACACAGTATGTCAAATCACTGGCAAGCCCAAGACACAAAAAGAGAAATGAAACTTTGATTTGTTAAGGAAAAAACTTATCATGTAAAGTTTACTTTTCTTCCTGCATCATCAAGTTTATATCTTTATCTTATTTAGGAACCATGGCCTAAAACTAAAATGAATTAAAACTAATTAATTAAAAATAACACAAATATTAAATCACCAAAATAGATAAACAAAAGCAAATCTCTAGGAATGTTTTTTTAAAAAAAACTCTGGAGCTTGAAAAAGAGCTATTTACATGCTTTCCTGCATTAACAAGAGGGCAGTAATAATGATGGCTTGTATGACAATATTGTCTTTGTTAGTTTTGCCCCAACAGAACTAAAGATTTCCTGATTACAACTTTGTAATTTAAGTCAACTGTAAAGATTTCTGGGGAAGGGAAACAAAGAAGAGTCTGAGTGCCAGCATTTAAGTGGACTACATTACCTGAGTTTACTCTTCGGCATGGGACAGTGTAAATAAGAGGGGTTCCTACTTCTACAGCCCACGCTAGGTCACGACCTGAACTCACTGTACTGGTATAAAAGAGAAAGTTGTGCTGGAATCTCCAATTTACACGCTTCTCTGCTTCACCTTCAGGATCCTATAATCACATAGGGCCTTACAATGAAGTGTTCACTCTGTACTGTAGCTCATTGTCATGATTTTTAAACAGTTGCTTTTTTATTGTAATGAACCAATTATGAGCCAGTCACTCAAGCAGTCATTAACAATAGATTTTTTAAATTGCATTTTTAACGAATTTTATTTTGGATAAAAGCCCTTAAAAGTACCTATGGCAAAGGGTAATCATACATTGAATTAACAGCAAAATCTGTTTAACAATGACTTGTCTTTTATTTACTACAACAAAATAAATTCTAGTGACAGTGTTAAAAAATATGACAGTGTCAGAGAAAAAAAAAGGTTGGGGTGGGAGAAACTTGTATCCTACACTGCTAAAATAATTTAAATGAAAACATACCTTTTTTGCACTTAGTCATCTTCTTGTTTTTCTTAATTTTAAAGTACAAACAAAATACTTTCTTATGAACACAGACTTTGATCTATATTTAGAAAATAATCAGACAGTAATATCTATATTTAGAAAATAATCAGACACTAATATTTGATCTATAAGCTATTAACGATGTCAAATATAATAAAACAAGCTAAACTGAAAAAAGAAAACACACAAATTTAATGCATTCATTCTAAAGATGAATATACAAGAGATGTTAAAAGTATTTTTTAAGCAAAATACTATAATATAAAAATTTTATTTCTCTCACAATAATTTCTATGTATGTATGAATAGAAATGTCCTTGCTGAAAATAAACAGTAATTTTAATGAAAATTTGAATGAGCATAGTTGTGATTAGTCAGATATATAAATGTATCTTTTCTAGTTGACTGTTGAAACCTCGTATATTTATAAGTGCAGGTTTGAATTTTAACAGTGTATGTGAATATTTCCAATAACAGTGAAATAAAAATTAACATTAAAATTTTACCCCATAAGCAAAACAATTTTTCATTAAAATTTCAAAGTAAAAAGAACTAAATTAAAACATTTATCTGTTAATACAGTACAATTCTGAACTGCCTAAATTAATTTGCTACTATTAAATCATAATTAAGAACTCGCTATCCAGTGTGATTTAGTAAATCATTAATTAGAAATATTAAAGAATGCACAATGATACTAGAAAAATTCTCTCTGGAGGTTAGACTGTCATACTCTGGTTGGGTTTTCAACTCTTTAATCTGTTAAAATCACTCACTCATGCAAAGATAAAAATTATATACATATATATTCATACAAACATATATATAACCCATATATATACACCTATATATACATATACATGTATATGTATAGACATAGGTATGTGTGTGAGCAAGACTATTCCTAGAAAATTGTCAGTATACACTCCGATTTTGTTAAGAGAAAAAACTTTTTTGAATGTTCCAGGCTTTTAAACCCTCGTATTTTCTGCCTCAAGAATGCGCTGACTGAAAGTAAGAGGCTCGGCAGGAGGACTGTGCAGCCCCTGGTTAATTAATCTGCCGGCTGAATGACAGTGTGCCTAGGGGCATGGTGCTGGCATCTCACACCAGGTCCCAATATGCTTTAAGCCTTGGATAGCTACATTCTGCACACCAAGACTTTGCCCAACAAATAGCAAAAAGGCCTTCAGAGCCTTCCTTCTTCTGCCTGAGACATTCCATTTAATTAATGTAATCCCTTTTTATCTTAAAGTTTTAATAAATTTTGATGCAGAGGCATAATAAACATATCTATGCCCCTGAATGCAGTAACTAGTTGCTCTAACGATTTTCTTATATATCCAAAAGGCTTCTTTACGAGGCATAAAGAAAATGAATGTAAAACATGTTACAACATGTTCAGAAATTCTCCAACATGCTACTTCATCTATTCAAAAAACCATATTTGTACAACCTGATGTTTAATGACTCTGGCAATTTCCATTTCACTGGGCTTAAAGTTTTTTTTATATCATAAAAATACAAATCATATGCCTACCCCAAAACACTTTAAAAATTACTAATACCTAATCTTGAGCAAGGTAGGGCTATTTTTTAGCAATAGGATACACATGACATTCTCCTAATCCCTTTTACTGCCGAACAAAACATCTTTCAAATCAAGATAAAATCGCTAAATCATGAATGTTAATATCATTCTGAGAAAAATAATACCTTATGACTAGAAAAGACCATCCCTTTAGGGAGAAATATTGTGTTAAAGTAGATTATTCTTTTAGTAGTGTAACAGAATGGCTTCTACCTAGTCCCAGATGGAAAATCAAAATCTGCATTTAAATGGAAATATTTTTAAACATATAGGACAAAAGGCTAAAAACCATAAGGAATATCTACTTCCTTTCATTTTAAAAATTCAAAACCCCATGTTAGAACTTTTAGGGAAGGCTTTGGCTTTCAGATTTTGTTTGTATGTTTGTTTCATTTTTATGAAGAGCTTGCTACACAATGTAATTTCACAGTTTTGTGATTAACACATAGTATTTGTGCCTATTATATCAAATTCACAAGTCAGATAAAAAAGCTGTGCTATACAATTTTTACTATTACAAGAAACAGATTTATGATTTAGGCTTAGGAAGAGTTAAGAATGAGTCCTCTATTTTCTTCCCATTTTTAACCATCCTGTTTTATATGTAATTCTTACAAGGCAAGAGCAGTTTGTTGAAATAAAATAAAACCTAAATTTCTTCAGCATTGACTCAAATCACCACTATGGTTAGAGAAAAAAGAAAGCAAAATGCTCGGCAATATTATAACTACTGCTCTTTGCGACCTGAAAGATTATTTTCAGTTCTTCAATAGTTAGAGCAATTTTCTTAAATCCTGAAGGAGCCTGACAGCACTGCACATTTCTTAATGCTTGCATTTACTTTTACATTATAAAACAATAAAACAGCAGGATAATGTTCATGCAGTTTAGAGACTTGTAACATTATCACAAATAATTCTACTGTATTATGGCAAAACATAAGCTTTTTAAATGTAGGCTGACTAAAGAAAGGGCAATCTGTATTTATTGAAAGTACACAGACAAATAAGATTGGAAATATAACTTAAATGTTGTACCTAGATTTAAAATAATGTTTGAAAAGGTTTGAAAAAACAAAATCTATGCTTAATATTTTTTTGTCCTAAATTAAAATACAATTAATTTTCAAGCATAGTGCTTAAGCAAGGGGAAAGCCTTCTTACTTATCTTTCTTTGGAGTATGTGACTTCTTTTGCTACCTCAGGAACCAGCCACATTAGGTAATTTAATCATTTTTCCTCAACAATGTTGTAAACCAAGAAACTTTACAACTACCAGCTTTAAAGATTCAGGTAGCTGGGCATGGAGGCTCATCCCTATTGTCCCAGCACTTTGGGATGCCAAGGCAGGGGGACTGCTTGAGGCCACAAGTTTGAGACCAGCCTGAGCAACATAGCACGACCCTGTCTCTACAAAAAATTAAAAAATTAGCTAGGAATGGTTACGTGTTCCTGTAGTACCAGCTACTCAGGATGCTGTGGTGGGAGGATCTGAGCTCAGTAGGTTGAGGCTGCAGTGAACTGTGATGGTGCCACCACACTCCAGCCTAGGTAACAGAAGGAAATCCTGACTCTAAAAACAAAAACAAAAAACAGGTGTTTTGATGATGGTCACATTTGACTATTGTATTACAAATAATGGGCCAGCCTGCAGAACTTTGTCGTATCATCTCCTTTCTGAAACCAGCCCACCTTCTAATCACTATGCAGGTTCTGACATACATCTTTATTGCTGGAAGCTCTGTCCATTTTTGTATAGGAAATTATGGATTTCTTTATTTAAAAGACATAAAAGACATCTTATTTAAAAGCATAACTGGAACAACTCCTGCATATGTATCAGGTAATTTTCCTACATTGAATAAGTAATTCATTTTAATTCAGTTGTCCATGATTCTTCTAGTGGTAACCATAGGGATGAGGAAGGATAAAAGCATTTCGATGCAGTAACCTGTTTCTCAGATTTATCCTGGGTACTCCATCCCTGCTCCCAACTCCCCACTCTTCACCTTGAACTCCAAAATTCCCAGCAGAAAATTTTTTCAACCATCATTTGGAGATAATATACCATGAAATTAAATCACCAAAAACCCTGATACATGTCATCATTAGTCTACACTAAGTAGCAAACTAAATTAGGGAAGCTATATGTGAGACCATCACAGAAGATCCCAAACTCACAAATCTTTTAAACTCTTATGCCTTAAAATTGCCTAAATCAAAGAAAAGTGAGGAAACATGACAAATTAGGTTTTAAAAGAAAATATATGTCCCATCCTTGTGGATACTGGACTCAGAGCTAATGTATGAAGAAACTGACTTTGAATCCCAAATATTCCTGTTCTAAATAAATGATACTCTTTTGCAAGAAACCAGAGTCTAAAACCTGACTACTCAAAATGCAACCTCAGACCAGCGGCCTCAGCATCACCTGTGTACTTGTTAGAAAAATCTCAGGCTCCATCCAGACCAACTATATCAGAACCTGAATTTTTAATAAGATCCCCAAATGATCTGTTTGCATATTCAAGTTTAAGACTTTCTAATCTAAGAGTTTATCTGGTTTCACAGCTTATTCTTCACCAAGAGACATAAAACAGTGAAGGGACAGAACAACCAGTGCTCATAAAAAGACATAAATATTACAGATGACCATAATCTAATGAAGGAGGGAAAAAAAGAGAAAATTTAACTTAAGCGTTTAAATTGGATCTAGATCTCTGTCTGCAATCTTTGTTTTTAACACCTGAAAATTCATTTACATGTGTATGTGCATACATACACACATGTGAGATGAAAGAGAAAAAGGAGAGGAAAAAAGTAGAATGCGAATGAGAGGAAAAAGAATAGGGGGAGAATGGAACCATGAAACTGTACATAGTGTGAATATGTACATGTGTTTATAGCTGAAAAGTAGAAGAAACAAAGTAACCCAGCAGCTTGGAAAAGAGCAGCGATACTCCTCTCAACAACACTTGCACACACTCCTACTTATCCCCATGCTCAAGTCGGTGTAATAGCAGCGTTTTCATATCACTGACAAGAAACTACCAAGAGATTATCATTTAAAAAAAAAAGTGTCACAGAAGGAAATATTCCCTAACTGCATCAAAAGTACAAACAAAAATAGAGAGAATTAGGTCTAAGAAACTAAAATGACCAAAAGAGAAAGGTATCATAATTCCAAGATGGTGATATATTATTTTGCAAAGTCTAAATAATGATTTAGTAATAATTACCACAAAATAAACATTATTTTATTCTTACAAATGAGCTATTATAATATTTAATCCAGTAACTAGGTTTAAAATAGTAGCACTATAGTTTTGTTTTGTTTTTAATGCCATAATAGAAACTGTCAACATTAATAATAAAAGTTCATAAAAAAGGGGAAGCATAAAGTATTTTCTATGGGATATTTAGTGAACATAAAGTATTTTCTATGGGATATTAATGGGATAAAGTAGTGGTTTAAACCTGCAGTAATAATTTTCATAAAGTGAAATATACCTAAAATCTTACGTTTCATATAAAAAATATGCCCAAAATGATTAAACTACTTTTACTAAGCCAATATTCTACCACCATTGATTTACTCACAGAAAATCAGAAATCATTTTTAAATGTTGCCAAACTTAATGATGCCAATAGAAAATAAGTCAGTTAATAGCCAGGAGCAGAAGAGTGTGGCTAGTTGGAAAACAGAACCTAGTAGAAAAAAAAAGTTAAAATTAGCATTACATCTGTAACTGTTTAAAAAATAACATCTATGAATGTCTATACCTATATCTGTGTTCATCCACATGGCACATTTTTAGTATAAAGTATACTAAAATCTAGCACACGAGGCCACTGGTCATCGATCTACTTTAGCCCCCTTAAATCCCTGGAAACTGACTTCTCACAATAAGGGGAAAAAGTCACCTTATGCCTTGTATTACATGACTGAATTGCCCTAACATATATTTCTTTGGTTTTGTTCCAAGAAGAATATGCAGTCAAAAGATGGGCAGAATGCTGTTCCCACCTTGAGTTCACGAAATGCCAGGAATTATAAAAACAATTCCAAGTCAAGGTTTCAGATACATTAAAAAAAGACTTTGAATTTTAAAATATAAATAATGAATTCAGAAGCAGGTGTATTATTTATAGAAATCAACTAGCCAATATGTTTCAATGGCCTTAAAAATAATCATATACTTTGATCCATTAATTCTGCATCTGGAAATGCATCCTAAGGAATTAACTTTTTAAAATGTAGACAATAATTTATGGATCACATCAAAGTGCTATTATTTACAGTTAAAATTAGGTTCTACCTAATTTACAAAATTAGAGAATCATTAAAAAAATTATTATACAGGCACATGATAGAATATTAAGTAATCATTAAATTATCTTACTGAAGAGATTTTCACGGCATAGAAAAATGTTTCTGATAACTTTAAGTTTAAAAAAAGCAATGTACAAAGTACAGCAATACCACACACAGGTGTGTGCATCTATGTGTGTATTAAATATATGTGCATGTATAAAAATACATCAAAATGTTAACTTGAAATGGTTGAATTTTGAGCAACATCTTCATATTTTTATACTTTCGTGTATTTTTTAAATTTAAAACATAATTTTTCTAAGTATCAAAGAAAATTAACAAAGAATTTAGACTATAAAAAACAAGGCAGGAAGAACATGGGTGAGTACGCTGTAAGGTTACAAAGATACAATTCCACTGAATAAAGGAAGCATGTGCACCTATAAGAGAAGTACTAAAAACCCAGTTCCAGAAGAAAGAGCCAACTCTCTAAGAGGTAGAAGACAGATGAACATCAAAAATTAAAATAAAATAATGTAGAGAAGTCAGCTCTATTATAGTAACTAGAAAGCAAAAAGGATATCATCTAATGCCAATGTTATTTTTACTATGCAAAAGTATCAAATAACTGCGGTAAATAATTTAAGAAAATAAATTACAACACCACTTAGTCTTAGGAGGCTTATTACAAATCTTAACTATAAGGAAAGAAACTGGTTACTTTATCAAATCATAACAAAACAAACTTTATAGATCCTAACTTTGTTTTCTACAAAGTTGACAGATACAGAGACTACTATTTTCTCTTCCCAAACATAATTAAAGCATATCTTTAAGATGTCCAGATAATGAACATTATAACACTCGAATATATATATAATTGACAAGCTAAAAATCTTTTTATAAAGCAATATTTTAGCTATTATGTTAATAAGTAACTTATAACTTACATTTTTCCCTTAAATTTTCATAAAAGTCTTTTTCTTGGTTGCTAATGCTTCATAATCATTTCCATTTCAGACTGCTTGACTGATCAATTGATTCTAAGTCAATAACAACATGGAGTAAAGGGTTGGAAACTTTATAGTCACACTAAATTTGTTATATAAAACCAGGAATCCAGCTAATAGCTGTGATTTGCATACATAGTAGGGACTCAGTAATTCTCAATTAACCATAAAGAAGAAAGCATCGATATAAATTTGGCACCTTATAACTATGTAAATAAAATCTTACAACTATGTAGAATCCTCACAAAGTTAGTTTTACCTATTATATAACATTGTTTTATTTAAAATATTTGCAAGTAACAGTTTGAGAAGATGTATTACGCAAAATAGCATAAAGGAGCCATTTAAAGCTAAAGACAAAATTTCTACATAAGTATAAATGCTCAAGAACATCTGAAAACAAGTCCCTTGATATTAGCCTAAAATTAAAATTTACGGAATGTTACCTAATCTTTGACAGAACCTAGTCAATGATAGCCCTAAAGAATATCTGATAAATAAGATGATGCTTCCTTAAATAAGGAGGGATGTCTCACTTTCCAAAGCAATTAATTTAAAAGAGGAAATAGTTTCTGATCCATGATCTCAGGATACATTGAATTGGAAGTTTGATTTAATTTTAGTTCTGAATCATACGACTTCACTATGGCAAATACCATATAGTGTTACTTGTGGTGGAAGCACTAAAAAAACTATGTTTATATGTAATTATCTGCCCTCTATTGGGGAAGACCAGGGGAGAGAAACTTATCTCTGAAAAAATCCTATAAATTCTAACCCTGAACTGATAAACTGATAAATTATTTCAAGATATTAATCAAAATTATAAGCTAAGTGAAGAATTATAAGTCCCCAACAGGCCCAGATAGAGCAATACTGAGCCTTCAAAAAGACAGCATTTTTTGGAGAAACTTAGTAATACTGGCCAGACAAAGAAGGGCAGATGCCAAGTCATGAACAAGTAAGAAAAATATAGGGAATGTGGAATATTTTTAGAAAAGCAAAGAATTCATCAAAAATAATTATGACTAATACATAGCAGTAACTTCCTGCCCTAAAACTCAGTGTTAAGTCTTTAAGACAGACACTGTGCTTTAATCACCTACATCTGTTGCCTTAATCAGCTACATCTTTAGCACTTAGAAAAATGCCTGAAACACACTAAGGTTAAAAAAAAAAAAAAGCTAATGTATCTTAACATTCTACAACTTACACAGCATGTGTAAACATTATAAATAATAGTTATATATTATAGCATGTGACTTCTTTTCCTCTCTTTCATTCATCATTTTACTGACGCTCAAAGGAAAAAGCATATAGAACAAAATCATCTGAAAAAGTTCATAGGGGCTGGGTATGGCGGGTCATACCTATATCCCAGAACTTTGGGTGGCTGGGGTGGGAGGACTCCTTGAGGCCAGAGGTTCGTGACCAGCCTGGGTAACACAACAAGATGCCCATCTTTACAAAAATTAAGGCCGGGTGCGGTGGCTCACACCTGTAATCCCAGCACTTTGGGAGGCCGAGGTGGGTGGATCACAAGGTCAGGAGATCAAGACCATCATGGCTAACATGGTGAAACCCCGTCTCTACTAAAAATATAAAAAATTAGCCGGGCACGGTGGCGGGCGCCTGTAGTCCCAGCTACTCAGGAGGCTGAGGCGGGAGAATGGCGTGAACCCAGAAGGCAGAGCTTGCAGTGAGCCAAGATCGTGCCACTACACTCTGGCCTGGGCGTCAGAGCGAGACTCCGTCTCAGAAAAAAAAAAAAAAAAAAAAAAAAATTAGCCAGGTTGTGGTGGCACTCACCTGTAGTTCCAGCTACTCAAGAAGCTGAAGGCGGAAGATTGTTTGAGCTCAGAATTTTGAGGCTGCAGTGAATTATGCTTGTAGCACTGCACTCCAGCCTGGACAACAAAGTGAGACCTTGTTTTCTCATACAAACTTTTTAAATTCTTGGTGATACGTCCGTTTTGTGCCCACAAAACTTTCCTAGTTAAGAAGTTTTTAATAGGTGGTCACTCAAAAGACCCTTTAGAAAAATTAAGCCCTGGAAAATATTTAATTAATTCTTACCTCGTATCAAGCGAAAGCAAAGCCCAAAGCAGACATACTGAAATGCACAAACTTTGAGATCATATTCATCACTGCCAAAGCAGCTGATACATTAAGTACTAAAAAGAAACACAATTAAAGACAAAACAAGGAGTAGTAGAATTTCCACCACACAATACCCCTAAAGAGACAGAAGAGCACAGCTAAATTCTCTAAGAACCAGATCAACAGAGAAACCATGACAGATAACAATTATCTTATGAAGTTAGTTAAATATGAGCAATGCTCTATGGCCCCAATGAAAGAGAAAGTGTTTTTCTAGTGACAAGTAAGTATGTAATAGTTAATATTTATTGATGCTTCCTATATGATCTATTCTACATGGATTATCCCATTAAATGCTCATAATGACCCTATGTTGTACGTACTACTACTAGTCTTACTTTACAAATATGAAAGCCAAGGTATAGAGAAGTTAACTAAACTAAGATCATACCATGCAGTGGAACCTAGAACAAAGCGGAGTCAAACCCTAGAGTCCCCACTTATCCCTCAAAGGCAAAAAACCCACCAACATTTCTTGGTAAACACAATATTGGTTTTCTAAACTCTATTTAATTATGAACATATCATTGATCATCATTAAAGGATAAAAACATACAGTGTAACAGATTTTCAACCACTTTTTTGGTCTCCAGGCAATCATTTTTTTGGTCTCACTCACTCACATGCCACATAGTAACCCTAATCACAACTCAGTGATGGAGATGAAGAGGAAATAGCATGGAGCTGATTCTAATATACTCCTAGGAGGTGTCTGCCTCACTTTAAGAATTCCAGAGCATACATACCTACACCTTTATTTGTAAGCAGTACTACTACTGACTCCTCCCAAATTTTGCTTGTGGTTCCAAAAGATTTTTTTTAATGTATATTATTCAAGGATTTTGCCACACATTTCTTTCATGCAAGACTCACATGAAAAAATATACATACATCATCACATACTTCAATATCAACTCATAATAAAGAAAACAGAATTAATAAAATATAATAGCTTGCTATTTTTTTCAGGTTTAATCTGTTTCATTCAGCAGCAGTAATGATCTCATCTCATATTCTACCACCTTGGAAAAATTTAAAGAAGAATTTTTTTTGGAGGACTGCTAATAAAATTATCATTGACATTTTAATTAAAAAAAGAAATGTATGTAGAATAAACAGGATGCTTCCTGAACAGTCTGCAGTGGCTGCTCCCTTGCTTCTTTGTACAGTCTTGGTAAATTATGCAGGCTCTCAGTAGATAGAGCAGCTGTATTTCACTGTCTTCGGTAATGTAATCTACATTTATCACTATTTTAATTAAGTGGATTCTTAGTTTGGTACTCTCATTGCAAAGAAAAAATACCTTATTCAATTTTTTTCTTTGGTAGACAGCATCTTGTCAGTCTTGTAAGCCAGAATGTAATTTTAAACATATTTCTTACTGTAACTGGTCATTATTTTAAGAGGAACTACCATATTTGGTTATTGAGAATTTGTACCTTTTCATTTTATCAGCTTAAAACATTGGTTCCTTCTTTATAGTGATAAAAAGATACTTTCACAGTTCTCAGTTTTAACCCAAGTGATATACAAAAAACAATAGGTGGTTTATTATAATATTACATTCAAGATTACTCAAAAGCAATACAAAACATAAATAAGAACTTTACAAGAAAAACAACAATTTACTGAATATTGAGAACATTCAATTCCAAAGTTCATTGTGTAAGATTATTTTTTATCATCAGGTCATTTGAAGTGTCTGAATCTAAACCAATCATTGTGGTATATAACAGCTTTTAATTATACTGAAGACACATTCCGAATACTTCTTATTCATTTCCTATAATTATTTGTAATTAAAACAATGTTTTACTTTAAAAAAATTAAATTGATGAATTATGCCAGAAGTATGTTTGTTTTAATTGGTTCACAGAGAAACAATTACTTTACTATTAGATGGCTTCATAAAGTTGCACTTTTATGCATGAGGTGTTTGAAATCAGTAAGGGAAGGCCTGGTGTTCAAAGAATTCTGTATTCAGCACACATTAACTGAACATCTTTTATGTGCCAGGTACAGAATTAGGCACTATGAATTCAAACCAAAGTAAGACAAAGCCCTTACACAAAAGGAGTGTATGTACACACACGTACATAAACTGTAAGGACCAAGTGGCTTTTAAACTCTGTTGCTTTGAAAGAGAGGGACTCTAGGTCCCCATCTCCATTTCAACCAAAAAAGCTCCATTTTCATCTATTTTACACACCAGTCTTCTTCGTAGCTGGTGGAGAAAACAAAAGCTGTATAGCTAGAAAACACAAATAAGGGCTCTAGACTATTATTACTAAGAACCCAGATAATTGAAAAAGTATCCTAAGTATTTTCAGATACACTAAAGGGGAAAAATTTTAAACTCCTGTTTTGTTTTGTTTTTTTGAGTTTTATCATCAGTTTTCACACATTGCTAAATACTGGTTTGTGGGTAAATTTCTACTAAAATAAAGATTCCAAAGACAGCTTATTTTAAAAGTTTGGGAATGAGGTGTGTAGGGAGTTGAGACTGAATGCACATCTCATTATGTTAGTTCACATTACCAAGAAATGCTATCCCAACTTTCAGATTCACATAAATCCAGAAATTGCCAGATAGGACTTTTAAAATCCAAAGTGCATTAAATGTGTTCTAGATTCTATATTAAAAACTTCCTCAGATAAAAGCCATTTACTTTCCCACTGTGGTTTTGGAAATAAAGTTACCATTTGAGCATCTCTAATGACCTGGCCAACTTAAATATATTATCTCTAATACCTCACAAAAACATCAAAGGATAAGGTGTTTTTACTCCCATTTTATAGAAGAGAAAGCAGCTGCAGGGGTTAAGACGTGTTCAATATTACATAGTGAATACATGAAGAAACCAGGACTTGGGCCCGTGATCTTTTTATTAAAACACTTTCAGAAGCAAAATAAACTTAATCCATAACATTTTTCTCTTCTAATCATATCTAAATATGATTCCTGCTTTTATTATCCATAACTTCACATCTAGTTGCATTTTACAATGAAAAACTTAGCTATCAATATATACAATCAAAAAGGTAACCAAAAAGAGAAAAAGGAAATCTAAAATTTAAATCAATGCTAATGAATGACAAACACTTTAGTCATTGTGTAACTCCCTTGGTTTGAATTTAAATAATGTCATGTATAACGACTGGGTTTCACAATTCAGGAATAAATAGAAGTCAAATTTTAGGCAGCCCACTCAGATTCTAATTAAATAGAAAAAACAAGTACAAAGGAACTAAATTATTTTTAAAAAATACTCCTATCAGAGTTCAACTTCAAAAAGATATTTCATGAACAGACAGTACAGCCTGTAAGATTCCATCTTTCTCAAATTACTCTGATGAACGTCTGATAAAACTTGAGATTTACCAAGGGATAAAAAGAAGAAGCAGCCAATAATTCTAAATGAAAACTCAGAATGGTCTTTTGTTCTCTTTGTTTAAAGTAAAGCCACTAGTGAAAAACAAGAATGTCTACTTAGGAAAAAGGGGTCTCTTGTTTGAACAAAAATTAAATTTAAATGTCCTGTTTCTTACCTGAACATTTGAAATCATCTACATCTGTCTAATGTTCACTAAAAGACTATAGAGGGCACTGTTGCATCAGCTTTGAAGCTTTACAATAGAGGCTGAGAAAAAGAAAACTGTCTATAACATGTAATTTCTCTAAAGGGTCAAATGCATGGAAATCTACTAAGCCTGATATAAAGGGGAAAGAACTAAAATGTATGTTTTTCTAAAACAGGCTGGACTTCAATGGGGGAAAAAACTTAACAAAAACAACTGTCAAATAGAGAAGACTGCACTGCACACATTTTGCATTTCCCTTTGTAGTGCTTTCATGAGAAAGGTAAGTAATCATAGCACCTCCTTATCCATTGGAAACAGCACCCCACTGCAGAATCCTCTTTACAATCAATAGGCAACTGAATGTGGCACCTCATGCAATTCTTCCATAATTCTATCAACAGAAAGAATGCAGTCTGTTTGCATACTTTTGTCTAAAAGACCAATTCCATTTGTCCCTTCTTGGATAAAATGACAGCTACAGATCAATCACTCTCACGTGAAAGTAAACATGCTACAAAAAAAAACAAAAAAAAAACAAAAGAAGAAGAATCAAAACTGAAATCCTCGCCTATTTTAAGCATAATTTTATTACACATAAAAACTCAAAGTAAAATAGAAAAAGCAAGTTTTTCCTCATAGACATGCATTTTGTGCTATTATACAACAGTATCAGGATGTAAAATAAATAAGTTACATCAAACAATAGTCATGAATCTTACCTTTACATATGGACAGCACTTAATTAAGTTCCATATATTTTCTATTCTCTCACATAATTCCTGTTACAATTCTTTGAAATTAAATCCAATTAAGTACAGTGTCAAAGGTACTTTCAGTACATATATACAATAAGACTAGCATACACAGCATAAAGCTTCTTATAATACTACCATTTAATTTTTTTCCACTAAAAATAATGCAAAAGTAAAAGGGAGTTAAATTATCTCATTTTGGTAATTTGAAAATAATATCCTGAATTGCTGAACCTCTGTAGAAACATGGACATTAGCTGTGAGAATTATAATATGATCAAACCAAGTAGAATATGTACAATGAAAAAAAAATCCTCCATTAATGTATATCTAATCATACCACCATATCACATATTGGATAAATCCACATTAATACAGGTACCATAATAAAACTAAGGCCTCTAATAAAGGAACCCAAATTCCCTGGAAAAACAGTATACAACTCATTTTGTCACTCTCAAAATTCCAGAGAGATTAGCACCTTCTCTGAAATCAAAGTGCAGAACTGTGAAAGTGTTACAAATTCTCCAGTAATATGTCAACCTACTCATAAATCAAAAGGAGGGGAAGGGGCTTTAGATGGTATGTAGATTTCATTTTATTACAAAAGCTCCAGTTTAACAAGTTATTTTCAGCCAATAAAAGTCAAAAAGTAAAGCAATGCTAAAGTGGCTAGTACTGACTCTGAGGCTTTACTTTTTAACTGAAATGCTACTTGAGTATTGCTCCCTTAAATTATTAATTTATGGGTTTTGCTTAGTTTCCTCCTAAGGCAAGGCAGTTCTAGTCACAGGTACATTGAATGCATGTAAATAAACAGAAAGCTTTTATAATGGTCCTGTAATTCACTAAACATAATAAACAACCTTTTTTAATGAATGTTGAATGTACAATCCTATGAACCAACTTTATATAAATAGACTATATCATCTAAAGAATCTGTAAGATCCTCTAGGAAGTAAATGAACAAATTCAGAAAAATTAAACATAGGCTGATTGCTTTTCATTGATCTAACAAAATTAATGCTTACAACAGAATCAAAGTGCTGATAGGACTATGAAGAGTTGTGTTCAATTTTGAAGAAATCTAAGAGAAAGTGTCATGAACTGTGAGAAAATGTATTTGCAATATTGCTTTTCATCTACCACAGGATGACTACAAAAAAAATCAGGCAATGTATTTTTAATATGCAGGATATTTAACTAGATATTTTAGTTTACTATTGAAGAAGAGCAGCATATTAAAATCAATTTTAGTCAACTTTAATTTATGCAAAGCTTGATTGTGAGCAATAGCTGCTAAAAGGATGCAACATTGTTGATTCATATACAAGCATTTTACTTAACTACATTGGATAATAGCAGTGCTCCTAAAGGAGTATAAAAAGCAAAGTGATTAGCAGTCATTAATGTTAATTAGTGTTCACATTACATTCCTTGGGATGAATCTCCTTTAAGTTGAATACATGGAAAGTTCATTTTTGAAGGTTTGCCAAATCTTGCCTAGGTAAGTACTAAACTAAGCCGTCAACTACCAGCAAGCAGAATGAAAAACAGGGACAGATCAGCATCCAATTAGTATGTCTAAGTTTTTAAACAGGAAAAGGGTTGAGGGGAATCAGTAAAACTGGAAACTCATACTTCACATTTTGCAATCTCACTGATAAAAGGAGGAAATGTGTGTTTATCAAACTTGCTGTGAGTGCACAGTTCATTTGGAGTCCTGTAAACAATCGCCTGGCTGCCCACTTTCAAATGCATGTGAAAATCTTGGAGATTCAGAGCATCATATTCAGCAAGCAAGGTCATTCTAGTGATGCCCTGGAAATGGGAAATTAGGAAAACGTGGCAATCAGAGGTTTAGGATTGACCAGAAAAAGCCCTGAGGCTGGATTACCATCTTTCACCACCAGTCAGGCTGTCTCTGCTTATTCAGTATTAATACAACAGGACTGCAAGTGAATGAAAATAACTCAATGCACCTAACTGGGACACTGGCTTTCTTGTTTAGAAAACAACAGACATTTGTCACAGCAAAAAAATTAAGTAAAATAAAATAAAATAATAAAATCTCTCACATACAAGCTTTCAAGAACCAACCCTGAAAGAAAAACAGGCTCCTCATGAACCTTCAAAAAGGACCTGGGGAATGGCTGACATCCTGTTGATTTGATAATCAATAGGAAAGATTTCCTTTCCCCCAATACCATTCAGTGCATTTTTAAGTAGATGCCAAATCTTCAACAAGGAAGCTTCAAAAGCAATATATCCTCATTAGAGAAAAACACCGAAAAATTAAATGTGCAAAAATTATACTCTTAATTCTGCCCACAGACTTAAAATATATCCTACAGATAATTTTTCTATGCATGTACTTACACAAATGCATTGTAGAAAAATGTTATTATACCATACAGAGCATTCCCTAATCTGTTTCCTTCTCTTAAAAATATATACAGATGTATTTCTGCAAGTTCATTTTTAATGCTATACAGCATCCCACTGTATAGATATGTCATAATTTACATTGCCAATGATTTCTAAATTTTCAAGTATATTTTAAATTATTTCCTTAGTTATAAATTCCCCAAAGTGGAATTGCTTATTACAGGAGTGTATTTTTTTGTGTTTGATGAGTTTTGCCAAATTACCGTCCAGAAATATTGAACCAATTTACAGGGCTGCTAGCAGTACATAAGGGTATCTGTTTCTTCAAAACCATTATTATTTCTTATTTCTGTCAAAGTGTAGCTGCATTTTTGAGTTAGTGAAGTTACACATTCTTTTTTTTTTTTTTTTTTTGGTCATTTGAATGTACTTCTCTGTGAAATGCCTGTTCATATCCTTAGCCCATTATCTCTATTTGGAGACATGCTTTTTATAATAATATCCAAAAATTAGTGAGGAATTCCCCATTGAATACTAATCCCACCAATAAGAGATTATTTTAAAGAAGAGATGTTAACTGTATGAACATTAAAAGATCCTATTAAGGTTGGTAGCTTTACATGAACCTATTTTATAACATTATATTATAGAACAAGACTTCCCAACTTATCCAAAAAGAAAAAGAAAAATTAAAAACTGAACTGGGATTGCAAATATATCTCTGAAGCTACCTTTGCTTTCCATAAATGGAAAAACTTATGATACTAAGCTGGCATCATCAGCAATGTTCTGTTGTTCTTTTTACTGTTCTGTTATTCCAAGGAACAATTATAAGCATACTAAAATTGGAATTGCTTTATTAGCTACTATGATAAGTCAAGAAAGGAGACTGTAACTATGGATGACAGACAAGTTCCTCATGCTATTATCTTGAATCAAGAATTTAATTAAAATGTGTCACTTTTGAGAAAAGCACTAAGTGTAAGACAAAAATGAAAAATGTCCCCCTCCACCCATCCAAATCAATTCAATTTAGGGCCTCTTCTCACAGAACCATGAAAGTTGCCAATACCCAAATTACTAATTCCTAATACATCTTCAGAAACAGGCTTAGATTAAAATGCAATTTCAAACCACAGATCGTGGTTTTTTTTTTCTTTTTCAAACAAACCAGTTTAAAAACTTGCAAAGCTATTACCTAAAACAGTGCTTCTCAAACTGTGTTATAAACCACTTTTTTTTTTTACATTTCCAACCCTTCAAAGATAGAAACTTGTAAAATACAACAAAATGAATTAAAAGATTAACATTTTTAAAAGATACAAAATACAAGGTCAAATTTTTATTATTAGATTCAAAAGAAACAAAATTACTCTTTCATATTACTATAAAAGTTTCTAAATGCTTATTTTGAATTTCTCTATATATCTTGTCTTGAACAAAACACTTCATGGACTAGCACCAGGCTAATCCCTAGACCACACTTTGAGTAGTAATTATTTAAAATTATTCTGAGAGCTCTGAAACAAGATCAGACACAGACAGATCACTTTGATCCCTGACTTAATAACCCTAACCCCTTATCAAACCATATGCCTTCCCCTCCGCCTCATTGTCAATTTACACATACCTTATTGGTTTATGTATGCACTATATATGTACTGTAATATAGTAATATCTGCATGAATTAACACAAATGCAATTCTGGGAGGCAGCAGAACATAGTGATTAAAAGTACATGTTCTACCACTTTTTAGCTGTGTAACCTTGGATGAGTTACTTAACCTCTCTGTATCTCAGTTTACTTATCTGCAAAGGGTTGATGTAAGGATAAAATTAGAATATATGTGTATAGAGCTTATAGCAGTTATCTAGAAGATAGTGCTACATAAATTGCAATTATAATTACAATAAGTCACAGAAAACTGAAAGAAAATCACATGGCTCTGGGTTTTCCAGCAATCAATATAAAGAGGAAACTTTAAGTTGCATGATTTACAGCGTTCATGCAATAAAAACTATCAAATAGTTATGTTAAGGCTAAACTATTACAAATACTAAGTCCTGAGAGAAATTTCTCCCTTGGATTACCATAAAGTTGACTATTTGATATAAAAATCCTTCACATCATCTCTGGAGGAAATACACAACAAAAAAATTTGAATACTTCTTATGGACAGGGCACCATGATGAGCACTGAAGAGTATTCAAATTTGAAAAACATTCAGTTCCTACCCTCATGAGGTTATAAACTAACAGGGAGAATATATTACAAATGCAAATAATTACATAAAACAAGTCATAATAAGTACCCACAAAAGTAAATAATGCAATAGAAATTTTTAAAAACAAAAGCTACACTTGAGGAAATCAAGAGCAATGCCTTGATTACATCCCTATTCTTCTCTCCTTCAACATAAAATCCAAAGGCTATTTAGAACAAGCCATGTCCCCAAGCCTATTGTCCCATCCCTGGCCCCCATCACTTCTTACCTGAAATTTAAGATGCTTTATACTCCCTTCTCTTTTAGATCTTAATGTCTTCCTTGAGAAATGCACAGCATACTCGTCTGCTCTCAGGATCTACCTCATGTGACTCTTCACTCTTTGGAAGCCCCAGAAGACCCATCTGATCTCATAGCACATAGCATAGCATGTGTTACAAGCTCAGGGGACAACTAATTATTGAGTATTCATGAATACTCCCAGGCTACAAGGCTTTCTGAAAGTGATGGTTAAAATAGTAGCTGTTAAACTTTTGAAAAGAACATAGTAAGACTATGACAAAAATTGGCCACCCTGGGCAACATGATGAAACCTCACCTCTACAAAAAAAATACAAAAATTAGCCGGCCATGGTTGCATGCACCTGTAGTCCCAGATATGCAGGACGCTGAGGCAGGAAGATGAACTGAGCCTGGGAGTTCAAGGGTGCAGTGAGCCACGATAGCTCCACTGCACCCCAGCCTGGGTGACAGAATAAGACCCTATCTCAAAAAACATTTTTCCTCTCCCAGAAAAATTTACACCTACAAAACATTTGCATAAAATTTCATAGTTCAAGAATACCTCTCCCTTCCAGATTAATAAATCCTATCTTAAAGTAGTGCATTATCCTAGATGAAATCTACTAGTCTGATCCTTATTATAATGCTTTCTGTAATTACGTCCAGGATATATGACCACTGAAAATCAGAAGAACTTGGATAAGGGTTAAAGATGTCACAAGAAATGGCTATCAGGCCAATAAAAATGTTTTAAAGAGATAAATCATGAAAGGCTCAAAGGGAAGATCATGGGTTATTTATCAAATGATCATTGTTCTCCCTCCCTTCCCACCTCCCTGCAAAATTACTACCTAGGAAAGAATCCGTAAGAGAACTGGTCTTAAAATAGACCATGGGGCATTTCAATGGCTCCAAAACCAATCTTATAGTAGGGAGTACAGAAGAATCAGCAAATTCTGCACAAGAAAGACAAATAAATGTCTGATAGTTTCTGCCTTTTCTGATTGTCAATGTCTTTTGAAAGATATCTATGGGGATCAATATTAGCATAATTTTGTCAAAGTTAGATAGGCTTAATTTTGGTAAGTTTAACAATTGCTCATCGAGCACCCACTGTGTACGAGTACACAAAGTGACCACGTGGCTCAGCACTGTATACAAATAAGTATGGCATAATTCTGCTGGTGTTGAGAGTTAATTGCTTTTACATACAGGAGCACAAATGATGGCCCCATTCTACTGCCTCTGAAGAAAGAACTGTTTTTTAAATCTTTTAATTCATATACTCCAAAAAGTCTGAATTTTCTAAACTTGGTTCACCTAACTTTCACACTTAAGTCCTTGCTTGAGGCTTTCTACAAATGAGTTCATACAAAATATACTGCTTAGATTTTAAAGACAAGCATGGAGTTAAATTCTAAAAGAACATGCCAAAATAAATTTTAATGGAAAAAAATCACCTATTAGAACCACTGATATCTTTAGGTTAACCCTCTTTATCTCCTTTTGAAATGGCCCATGCCTCAGTTAACTCACATAGGAAACTAGAAAGCATTAATTCTACATGTCTCTTGGAAGGCTGAATTATCTGACTGAAGAAGTCTAAAACAGGCTAAGGATGGCCCAAAATTATAGGCACCAAATGTAGAAGGATCAATTCAATCCAATCTATAATATAAATTTACCCCCACTAAAACCTCTTTCACAACTGAACGTTTATCATTCGTTTTCTTCTCTGCATTAACTTACTAATAAAGTCAAGAAAATTACACTCATCTCAATGCCCACTTGTAACTACCACTTAATATTAATATACTAATGGAATGCTGTATGCAATGAAAAAAAATGACTTTACTAGATTATTCTGGAAGCTAGAGAATGAAGGAGAAGACCTGAGGCTAAAATGAGGATGACAGGCTCTCAAATATATTCTCATTTGTTTTCAAAACAGATAAATAAGAAAAGAAGAAAGAGATACCCACATTTTATAGATGGAGCAACTGAATTCCAGAGGAGTAGAGTTTAACACAATGCCTATTATAGTCTAGGAGCTGTATGGAGTCTCATAGGAAATAAAAATAATGAAATATAATCCCTATTCCTCAAGTTACTTATAATCTTTAAACAAAACAAAACCCACAAGATAGATTTTCTTAAAATCTTAGCTTTGTGTATTAAACTAGACTAAGTACTACAAGAGAGTTAAAATGTGACATGAGGGTTTAAGGAAGGAAGATATTATATTCAGTGGGGTGAACTGAGGAGGACATCAGGAAAGAGATATCATGCAAAAGAAGGAGTTGGAAAGGAGAAGTTATTTCTGACTAAAACGCAGCACTATTCAGGAAAGGCATGGACCGTATGGGGAAGAATGAGTTCCGACAATAGTCTAGTTTAGATGGCACGTAGCTTACATGTAGGAGAATCTGAGAAAAGACAAAAAATAAACTGAAGTCATATTGCAGTGCACCTAGCAGAACGATGCTAAGCAATGAATGTCTGATGGAAAGAGAAATGTGATTAAATCTACACTTTAGAAAGATTCCTCTCTCACAGGAGTTTAAAGGATAAATTATAGGGGATGAGAGACTGGAGAAAGACCAGAAGTAAACTTTAAGGGGTCAATTAATTTATAGGTCTAAAGCCAGGTTCAATCTGTTATGATGCCCAAAAGGCTACAGAATCTATTAAGACTATATTTTGCTTGATTTACCGGCAAATGTGTAATTGCATATCAAAAATAATGCAATAATTTGAATTTCATCTATATAAATTATTTGAAAAGATACTAATATCATAGTTTTGCTTACTTCTGTGAATCCACACTAGGTGCTTTTAAGAAATAAGGATAAACTATTTCAGTTGATACAACCAAGACCAAAATGTATTAAGAACTGATTCTGATTAAATGAACCCATATTGATATGAAGCATCTTCTATTCAATCCTTTACCAGATTAAAGAGATGACAATGACAGGATGCTATAAAATATAGGATCATAATATTTATAATATATAGCTATCATAATTCATTTTGATTACCAATATCGCTCAGTAAAACTATATAAATTAGCTGTGGAATTGTCAGTTTACAAGGTACCTTATATAGACTTTTTGTCACTATTTATTTAAATACCATCATCAAGTCCAATCAATCTCTCTAGAATGTCCCCTTTTCACCTTTCCCCTTGGCATTCCCCATGTTCAGGCTCTCAAACCTTTCAGATACCTAGTATCTTAGTTTTTAATTTGAACTCACCTACAGAGTTGCCTATCTCTAATCCATTTCTTGTATTATATTAGTAGTTCACCCTGATGACCACAAGAATTTGTTGAACAGTAAGAAATATACAATGTAATAGCCTAGCATACGCATATGTGCCTGTACATATCTATTACGTTACACAAAACAATAATTAACCTATTACAATGCATATTGATATTATCTATTATATTCTAGGCTCTTGCATTTTTTATAAAAATAGTTGTCACTCATTAAATTGAGTTTAGAAAATACCATCTCAGGGGCTTTCCACCATCTGAACAATCCTTGACCTAAAATTTAAGACACTCTCTTTTTTGGTATTAATCAACCTTTACAGACTTATTTTCCACCACTCCTCAAACTTTAAACCCTAAATCAAATTGAACCACTCTATTTCCCTAATACATTTCATAATTTCCTGCTTACAAGACTTTGGCTAAGAACTTCCGGTAATTTTTAACATTCTCTTAGCCATCCTCCAATGTCTGTCATCTGTCAAAATCCAAATAATCTTCAAGGATATTGTATTAGTCTGTTCTCGCACTGCTACCTGAGGCTGGGTAGTTTTTAAAGAAAAGAGGTTTAATCAGCTCAGGTTTGCAGGCTGTACAGGCTTCTGCTTCTAGGGAGGCCTCAGGAAACTTACAATCATGGCAGAAGTCGAAAGAAAAGCAAGCACATCTTCACATGGCCAGCAGGAGAGAGTGAAGAGTGAGGTGCTAAACACTTTCAAACAACAAGATCTCAGGAGAACTCTATCATGAGAACAGCAAGGGGGAAGCCCACCCCATGATTTGATCACCTCTCACCAGGCCCCTACTCCAACACTGGGAATCACAACTTGACATGAGATATGGGTGGGGACACAGAGCCAAACCCTATCAGATATCAAATGTAACTTGCCCATAACGCCCTTCTGATCCCCCAAATGGGATTTTTTCACCCTCTGAACTCCCATAACCCTTTAGTTGCATGCTCTAATGGCAACTGTACCTTGTATTAATTTCTCTGTATAAGTGTCTTATCCTTTCAGGGTCTGTGAGGGCAAAGACTATGCCTCATACATGTTTTTACTTTCCAATACTGGTACATTATAAGCATTGAATTAATGTTTGACAAATGAAAGAATAAGAGGATTAAGAAAAATAGTAGTAGCATACATTAAAATCAACAGGAATGTCAAGGTCAACTAAGACATTTATTCAACTCCTCTTTATTCACTCAATATTTTCCCACATCAGCACATCACAGAACAAGCTCCTATTAAACCATTTCTAACCAAAAATAAAAAATAAAAAAAAACACTAAGTATTTATCAATAATATCATTTTTTTTGACGATTTAATGATTTAGGCACGACAAATATGCTGACTGAAGATGTTCCCAATTTAAAAGGTAAAGTTGTTATAAAAAAATCAGTTCAGGATCTATTATTGTGTGACCACAAATAAAGTCATGTGCTTCAAAAATATACAACAACAAAGAAATAAAGCAATTTATGCTTATCAATCTGGATAATGTATTCTCAGTCATTTAATAAGAATATGGCAAAGACAAGATAAACTACAGGCCTAGAAATGAAGTAGAAGACTATAGGACAGAGACTTACACCTAGCATCCCAGACAACACAACTCCAGAAGGAGACATCTACAAAAGGTTTCTTTAAAAATAAATGGTAGCATAGGAAAAACAAAACAAAAACAAACAAACAAAAAAACCCAACCAGTCAACAGGATACAGACACTAGAGATTGAAAATATAAAGAAAGATATTTGAAAGAAAAGTCAAAAATACTCAACACAATGTAAGATATATAGAGTAGATGATAAGATAGGAAGAAATCCATAGTTTGTAGAAGAAAGGAATATAGGATATAAAAATAAGTCAGTTGATAAATTTATAGAGAGGCACTGACTCTGGGAAAAGATAAATACAAAGGGTATACATGTGCATGTGCAATATATACACACAATCACTGATACCAAGTGGAGAAAAGTTCAAGGTTGAAGAGACAGAATGATGATTTTGCCAAAATGAGGGAGTCACATTTTCTAGGCTTTAGGGGGAATTTATAGATGAAGGCTTTGAACCTGTGATAAGTTTAGGAACTATAGTAATTGACAAATATGGTACAACATTTTATTTCCAGACAGATCTTCCTTCATGTACTTCCTCATGCACGCTTGACTTTATCATCTGAAAGGACCAGATGTGGCACAGCCTCAATAAAGCTGCACCTGGGAGTGAAAATGACACTGGTCTGTTCCAATGCCAATTCTTCCTGTTTAGAGTCCAGAGTCAATACTAGAAAAGCATTTCTTATGCCAAGGGACCAGGTTTAATATCCAAAATCCTGGGAACTGAAAGGGCTTGAGGCAAGCTGTGCAGTTCTGAGGAGCCAGGAGCAATTTGTACAGGGCTGTGTGCCTGTTTAACTAATGCTATGTCTGCGTCCTCCCTGAAAATCTTAAGTCCATCTTATATGTTTCTCCCATTCCAAATCCTTCAGATTTGCCTCAGAGCCACCCAACAATCTCAGGTTTTTCCCTCATGAAGTGAAGTGAAAAGAGATTCACAAAGTAATTTTCCACCATAATCAGGTTTTCTAAGATGCATATACTAAAACTAATTAGAAAGAGTTTCTGCTCAGCATTTTCATAAAGTAGTGTGCAGAAGGAAACTATTCTTGGTACAGTTAGTGGTTACACTGATAGGATGCCTTATTTTGAAAACTTCCACTATGATGCCCATTCCATTTAAGCTTCTAAATAGGAAAACAAAAGACAAAATGAATTTGCCAATGGTTTTATATCACATATCATAGTAACATGGCTCCCCTGTATCCGATAATTACATTAAAAAAATTTTTTTTGAGGCAGAGTCTCACTCTGTCGCCCAGGCTGTGGAGTACAGTGGTGTGATCTCAGCTCACTGCAACCTCTGCCTCCCAAGTTCAAACAATTCTCTCGCCTCAGCCTCCTGAATAGCTGGGATTACAGGCACGCACCACCACGCCCAGCTAATTTTTGTATTTTAGTACAGACGAGGTTTCAATATGTTGGCCAGGCTGGTCTTGAACTCCTGAAAGTGGTCTGCCCGCCTCGGCCTCCTAAAGTGCTGATATTACAAGGCAGGAGCCACTGTGCCCAGCCTAAGTTGGAATAATTTGATACATTTTTTTACTAAACTTATTCTTTTAATATTCAATATTCTTTTAAGAGCCTCCATATGTCAGGAACTCTGCTAGGACAGATACAAAAATGAACAGCACTATCATGTTTTTGAGGTCTCACAATCTAGCAAAAGCGACAGCCACAAAAACAAGCCTAATGATGCAATGAGACCCACAGTAGAGTTATAGACAAGCTGCCATGGAACAGAAAGGAGGAAGGTAAATTAGGGCAGGTTTCACAAAAGAATATGAGGTGAGAAGGGGTTCTTCAGGAGGACAAAGAGATAAGCATAAAGAAAAGCACAGCCGAAGACTCAGACATGAAAAGCAATCTCCTAGAAACTAATTAGTTCATTATAACTTGATCCCAGAGGTGCTTGTGTGAGAATAGCAGGATCAGACTAGTAGGACTGCCAGGCCCTCTTCTTAAAGAGCCTTCTGTGTTAGCCTAATGTGTTTGGACTATATCTTAATCATGGGTCATTTAAGCATTTATACAGATCAGCTGCCAACAACTTGGTAGACGAGGTGGATGGAGCATAGGGCAATACTGAAGGCAAGTTGATTAGGAGGCTCTCGCATAGTACAGATGAAAAACCAGTAGTGGTGAGAATGAAGTCAAGGGGTCAGATTTTAGAAGTCATACCAGCATTATCAATAGGTGCTGGAGCTATAATGGTGATGGTTGAGGGGGATGGAGTGGAGAAAGGGACTGAGAAAAAATGGAAGTCTCACAGTAGGGCCTAGGTTTTGACTTAGATGATGAGGTAAATGATGATGCTTTTAATTAAGGAAATACAGAATATGGAACAAGTTTGTGTAGGAAGATAACAAACAAGTTTTGAATTTGTTTAGTTTACCATGCCAGTGGAATATTAAGGTGGAAATATCATGAGCAACTGAATATACAGGTCCTTAACTATAAGCTCACTGCTTTAGCCCCAATGTCCAACTGTTTTTTAAAGAGGAGGAGGAAGGAAAAAAGGGAAGAAGGGAGGGAGGGAAGAGAGAAGAGATTAAAAAAGAAGAATTGGCTGGGCACGGTGGCTCACACTTGTAGTCTCAGCACTTTGGGAGGCTGAGGCAGGCAGATCACCTGAAGTCAGGAGTTTGAGAACAGCCTGGTCAACATGGCAAAACCCCGTCTCTACTAAAAAGACAAAAAAAATTAGCCAGGTGTGATTGCGGGCAACTGTAATCCCAGCTACTCAGGAGGCTGAAGCAGGAGAATTGCTTGAACCTAGGAGGCGGAGGTTGCAGTGAGCTGAGATCGTGCCATTGTGCTCCAGCCTGGGTGACAAGAGCGACACTCAGTCTCGAAAAAAAAAAAAGAATCATCTAGGATGGTTTCCAAGTTGAAA
The DNA here is from genome assembly GCF_000001405.40 of Homo sapiens. Classification (NCBI taxonomy): domain Eukaryota; kingdom Metazoa; phylum Chordata; class Mammalia; order Primates; family Hominidae; genus Homo; species Homo sapiens. Next base: position 35,533,151 of record NC_000015.10, read on the forward strand.
CCCACACATTTTTAGAAAACATGTTACTCTTTGTCCCCACTGCCACAGTTCACCCTTCTACCAGCAACAGCCTGATTTATATTTGGAGATTCACCCTTCCTTTACTCCTAGTAAACATATTCCCAGTAGTCATGATTCCATCTCTTAGTTTAGGATGACACACAATCTAGGCCTACCAAATCAAAGTCATCTTCTCCCAACCACAACTGACTCATGAATATGTTACACGTCAGATCAATTAAGTTTCCCCTTTAAGCTATTAAAATGAAAACTGGAGCTTTTCCTACTGCATTTTAACCAAGAAGAATACAACTGGGAGCCATCCCCTAATTACAAGGTCCTGACTGAGGTCTTACCTCTACAGAAAGTAGAGGTAAGAGAGAAACAGAAAACAAAACAAAACAAAAAAATCTTGACTTTGATTATAAAATTTGGGTCCTATATCTAGTTATCTTGAATCTAGTTATCTTTAGATTGCTGTCAATAATAAAAAATAATTGTTGTTATTTTTATTATTAAATTTATTATTTATGTATTTAATATTTATTATTAAAATTTTAATCCCTCAATTATTACTGTCAATAATAATAAACAGAAGGAAAGAACCAATGAAAAAAGGATTTCAATTAATTTATTAAGTTAGAAAGCAGATAAAGAAGGAATCATGACTGATCAGTCAGCACAGACAGCCATAATCTACTGTTTGCATGGAAGAGAACAGAGCCAAGAAAGGAACCAAACTAGGCCACACTATCCTGAACTCCAGGAATAACAAGTGTGAGATGTGAGGTTGGGAAAATTCTAGAGTCAAAAGCATTCACAGTCAGCTTTCCTCTTGTATTATTCTTGGATATGAAAAGGCAACCAAAACATCAGAGAAAAGCCTATAACATGAAAGAGAAGAAAACTAAGAAAAAAAAACATCTCAAAGAAAACACCAATATTGGCCAGGAGCGGTGGCTCATGCCTGTAATCCCAACACTTAGGGAGGCCGAGGTGGACAGAGCACCTGAGGTCGGGAGTTTGAGACCAGCCTGACCAACATGGAGAAACCCCGTCTCAACTAAAAATACAAAATTAGCCGGGCATGGTGGTGCATGCCTGTAATCCCAGCTACTCAGGAGGCTGAGGCAGGAGAATTGCTTGAACCCTGGAGGCAGAGGTTGTGGTGAGCCAAGATTGTGCCATTGCTCTCCAGCCTGGGCAACAAGAGCGTAACTCTGTCTCAAAAAAAAAAAAAAAAAAGAAAAGAAAACACCAGTATTTCAGGAAACGAAAGACAATGTTTAAAATCTCTGTATTTTAAGAGGATATAGGGATGTTACATCTATAGAAAGAAAAATAAGTTGTTATTAAAAAACAATGGACAAACAAGAAAAGTTCTTGACTACTGAAAATATGATGGTTAAAATTTAGAAAAATTTAACAAGAAAGTAGGGAAATTTTAAAAGGAAATCTCACAGAACATACAACAAAAAGACACTGAGATAGAAAATACATTTAAAAATAAAGATACATGAAGATTCAGTCTAGAAGGTTTCATATGTGACTAGTGAGAGTGTCAGCAAAAGGGAACAGAGAAAATCAAAAGGAACAAATTATCAAACAACTAGTGGAAGAACCATCCTTACACTGCAATTCTATTGGCTTTGCAATATTTTGTGTATCAGATTTGACATCAAGTTTTCTCCCGTCAAAAGAATAAAAATGGCTATGGCAGTTTTAGGTCTCACATCCACACATCTCTCTGCACAGAAGGAGAAGAGCTTATCTTCTGCCAACTACCCAACATTCTAGGCTTCATTCTATTAGGACAAACATAGGTTAACAAAACCATCTCTGATCCAATCACTATGGCCAGAAGAATGCCATGTTCTGACTGGCTATCACCTGGATTACATGCCTATCCCCAAACCATCAATCAGAGAAAGAGGACAAGGGATGTGTCACTACTCAATAGGAATTTAGGGAAGCGATGCAGGAGAAACAACACTCAATACAGCATTACTGTGACATTTCAGTACACCAAGCATAAAGACACATCATAAAAGTTAACAGAGAACAAAAACAGGCCACCTAAAAAGGAACAACAATCACACCAGTATCAGCAAAAGGCTAGAGAACCATGGAACAATGCTGTCAATGATCTGAGGAAAAATGACTTTCAATTTAAAGTCCTAAATTCAACCAAATCAATAAAATATGAGAGCAGAATAGGAACATTTTCAAAATGGAAAGATTCCAAAGTCCCCTAAGGCAGTTTATTAAATATAGATTATACTGAAACTAAGGAATAAACCAAGAAAAAGGAAGACATCAGATCCAGAAAGTAGTTCCAACCCAGCAGAACAGAAAGAATATAATCCCTACATATATTTCCTATAGAGATATAGTGCTTATATGTATCTTTCTGTAACTATTACACTGCTCACGTGACTTAAAAAGAAAACAAACAATTGGAAATTACTGTATTTTCAGGAAATAATACAGTTATCCATTAAACTAAACTAGATAAGAACAGAAGTTACATTTTAACAGTAAAGAAATTCTAAAGAATAAAAGATTAGCCACATGAAAAATCTTTCGCAAACAGCTTGAGATACATACCTCTAGCTGTCAGAGTCACCTGCTAATTTATGAGACAAAGGCTTATTACATTTCTATTAGGTGTCATAATTTCTACAAAATAGTTATGAAACATAACTCTACAAGTTCCTCCAAGTCTTTCCTACTTCTTTTCAGAAATTAGTAAATTAAACTCTTTGCAAAAAGGAACATCTATTCAAAAATGAGTTTTAATATTTGTGGGGAAAATGTTACAAAAACAAGACTTATGTGTGAAAGTTGCAAAGCTGTAACCTGTTATAAATAAATGTTTATAGTGAAAATAAATCTAAATGCTTTCCATACTCCATTAATACTCAAAGGATTAAAAAATGCAGTTCTTTCTTTTTCTTAGAACAAGTAAAGACAAACTTGAAAAATTATAGCTTTTCTAGATTCATTTTTTTTCATAATTACTCAGTTATTCATTAGAATATGTAAGACCTCCACTGGAATCTTTGCACCAGTGTTTCATAAATGAATTTAACTATAAAAGCCTAGTTATACAATCACTTCCATAAAAGCAATATATTTCTGATATTTATGTCCTTAAAATATCCTATAGTAAAATTAATATTTCTACACAGGAAAAGAAGGAACTATTTAGTCCCAGACAACTTGATAACATATCTTTCAACTATAATTATCATGTACAAACTTCCAAAGCATAAGTTGTCAAGAATTTAACATTAGCATTAATTTATGTCATAACTGATGGTTAGCATAAAGATAATAATGGCAAAGCATCCATTTCTCCAAAGACAGCATGGATGGAAAAGAAAATTTCTTCTTAATTATTGCTAATCTGCCCATTTTTAATTAAATTTATTATTAATTGTAATTTATTATCTCTCTTTCTTGGAGGGCTGTTATTATCATGGAGTTCTTCCAAAGTGATCAAGTTTGTGATTTTTAAGCAACCCAATTACTTTAGTGTGAGTCTCATCATTTTATAATATTGGTTTATATAAAAACTTAATGCCCAAATTCTTTGTACCATGAGAAAGAAATTTTGAAAATGCAGGATTTACACTCAGTAGTTCACACTTCAAAGTGAAAACTGTCAAGATCATAATTGCACCCTTTTGGAGATATGACCACTAAAAGTAGGATTCTTTTAAGCCTTCTACCTTGTTTGATAATCAAAATGTTTATTAGCATGTATCTTCCCAGAGGGAAGAAAGCAGGTCCTTGTGATTTCCTTTCAAAAGTGTCTACTTCTTATGCTATCTATAACTAAGCAGAAAATTTTGGAACTACTCTAAGGGTTTTTCTTATCAGTTTCTTTTTAGAATAAAATAAAATGTTCTGACATACAAAATAAGAACTATTTTAGTCAAACAAATTTTAAAAGAATTTCAGTGCTTCATATATTTTTCAAATCAAAATCCTTAATTAACTTTTGATTTGTATGAAACTCAAAGTATGTCATTTAAGTAGCTACTTGAAACTAGAAAATTTTCATGACAGAAGTTCATGAGGTAACTTCTGAAAAAACTGAACTTCTCTGAAGAGTGAGAAAGTGAAATGCAATGTACCTTTGTAGAGGAAGGGACAGGAATCTTCTTTCCTTCCCCTTGTGAAAAATGGCAAGACATCAAGAAATACTGGCTTGAATTCCCTACTTCATCAAATCTGCCTTATATGAATCGATTGTAACGGACTGAATAAAAATTCATACTTAGAAGAATAACTGAACTGTATTCAAATAGTTGGCTATCAATAAAAATGAAAAGATAGTTGCTTAATATAAAATCATCCTTATTAATTACCATTTACTGAGTATAGTAACTATTAGATAAATGAGCCCAAATATACGCTCCTAGAAATTAATCAGTGCAAAATGGCTGCCAAACTCTTACATTCTGTGACTTATGCATTAAATTCATACCTGTTCCAACAGATTTAAGCAAGGCTCAGTCTCTCATTTTCTTTACATCTACTTGTTACCTTATCAGAAATGTCTTGCTTGACAACCATACGTAGCACCACCTCCACAGCTATGCCCTGCCATCATGTGCAATCTGATTCTGCTTCATTTTTCCTCATATTACTCTTCACTATCAAGCATGTTATTTATTGTTTATTGTCTGTCCTCTTCCACTAGAAAGTGAGCTCCATTAGAATAAGCCTTTAACGTATGCGTCCACCATTCTATCCCCAGTGTCTAGCACTATATGCCAGGCATATAGTAGGCATTCAAAAAATATTTGTTAATAAAGAGATTAAATGGCCATCAGCTCTAATCTTTCTTTTCCTTAGGAACAGAAAACTTATTTTAATATCATTTGATAATCCTGGATGCCAAACTATACAAAACGTCTTATTTTTAAATATCATTTAATATAAAGGCATACTAATCATTTGCAGTTTTTTTCTAACCAAAAAAAGACAAAATCCTTTTAAAGAATAGTTGGGCTACTAACAATTGCAAATTACGGATTACTAAATAATTCGGCAAATGTAATTTGTTAAATTACACACTAAATCCAATATACTTAATTGGTTACTCTGCATACCTTAACAAGTTTCAAAAGCTCATAGAGATCTTCAACCTCATCACCTTCACATTTGGTGTACACTTGTCTTGTATCCAAGCTCCTTCCTCTTATGGTTCGGCGATAGAGGGGAAGAGCCATTGCTTCTGCATACAAGTCAATGGCATGGTGCCCCACTGTCTGATACATGTAGCTATCCAGTTCATCAGACCCCACTGCAACAATTAAAATGGAAATAATTAGCAAAAGAGAGTGAAAAAGAAAGCGGATTTGAAAGCCCATCCAGGTTTTACTGCTTGAATAGTCGACACAGAACTTGAAAGCTTGCTATACTATGTTTCTCTGCATTTATGTAGTAAAATAAAAACATAAGAATTGCACATTTGTCTGTAGTTGCATCTAGTTCATATCACCCCTAATAATCTCTACTACTAATTACAAATACAAATGTATTAATACATAAATTTGTTGTACCATATATGGTAAACATTTAAAGAGAAGAGTAATGTATCCAATAAATTTTGATTAGTTTATTCAGTTAAATATTTTTATTACATAAATGTTTTTACAAATCATTCAAGGTTATTCATGAAGTCATCTAGACTTGTAGAAAAAAAAACCTTTCTTAATTAAAGATCTACCTAGTTAATAAGAGACAAATAGTGGTAAGAAAAATTTCAGATCATTTTGGTATATTTTATATTCAGATATTCAGGACCTTATAATAAAACATGTAGATAGATATATATTCAATATTGTTAGAGCATTAGAGCAGTTACAAATGTGCATAGAAATATGATATCTTAAGCTAATCAATAATATAATCAGTGGTTGTCACAAGATTCCACAAATATCAATATGGGTAAAATATACAAAACAGATGAGTCACATCAGAGCTCTGGGTGATATAAATGAACTTAGAAATATACTGGAATAGACCTTTAGATCTCGTAACCTTACTTTTTAGAAAAAGAATCATGAATATATACAAAGATTATTTGCAAAGATACTTATCACATTATTTATAATAGACTAGAAATTATAGTATATTCATATAATAAAGTACTATGCAGCCATTAATATAATGTTGAAGAACATTTTCTAAAGTATGTTCTGCGGAATACAAATCCCATAAGACATTAATAGGTATCGGATGATAAAAAGATTTAAGGTTAAAGAAGTCTATAAAAGATGGGGATAAAAAGTGTTAAATGGATGTCTGTGGTGTAAATCTTCCTAAGCTAATATGCTTTCAGGTACTCCAATAAGAGCAGAGAATATGAACTATCTCTCAAATTTATCTACCCACAGAACACGTAAATTTAATGGGGGTATTTGTGTTCTAAAGACATATGGGAAATGCTATCGTAGAATAATATTTAATGACATGGAAAATGTTCACAAAATGCTATTAAAAAAATTACAAAGTAGTTATTTTGACATATACCTATGTGTGTATGTATGAATATAAGCCAAACAGGTCCAGGCTTTCCATTAAATGTGAAAACTTCCTATCAAAAGGAATGAAAAGTGATAGTGCAAGGGCCCCTTCAACAATCAAAATCATCAAAATCTGCTACCCCATTTTGGCTGACAGGTTTCTGAACTCACACATTGTTAGATTGGCTTCCTTCAGAATATTACTCACATTGTTACTATAAATGTTTCCACTCCTGGTCCCAGTAGGAAGTAGAGAACATAGCCAAAGTTACCTAAAAACCTTTCGGCCTTCTCTCGTCTCAAAATTAGACTGGATCTTTAAATACATTCATTTTAAAGGATATTGATACAATCAAACCAATTTACTCAAAGAAATTTGGGCTTCTTGGCAAGAAACATTCTGATGTTAGCATAATAAGTAAAACATCTCACTGGCTTCAAAAACCTAGAAGATAATTTTCTTTAAGGCTCTATTTAGTCCTAACCACATTGTAACTTTGATTAATGGAAGCTACAGAGCAACAATAGTGTGAGATCAAATAAAACCAAAGGCTCCCCTGTTGCCTGAAGCAACTCAATTAACATGCCACAAAAGTTCCTACTACAAATCTAAAGAGATGGTTTTGTGAATTTTATGACAAGTTCGCATTATCCTCATTGATGGGAATAAATTCCTTTTCACACCACCCATTGAAAACCCGTAACTTTGCTGGACATTGGAGTCATCTCTACCAGTCATTCCTCACTAAGGTTTCTTTCATAACACTCATAGGAAAATAAGTCATTCAGTGAATTGTTCAATAATTCCCAATGTCCTGCTGATTTTCATCAAGATGAGCTAAACCATCTCCATCTACCAACCCACAGCCATCTGTTTTCTTCTACAACAATTACTATTGTTTCGACTGCCTTTTCCAGGCTTTTTACTTCAGAATATTCTAATTCTATTTACTATCAAATTTTTTCTCACTAACAATATTCTAAATAAGTGTCTCTATTCTACTGAGAGGTATAATTTAAAAATATACTTTGCTTGTCATTTTACCACCCTGCTGGTGAACCATGAACACAAGGAAGATTATATATTAATGGTTCTGTACTAGGTAAGTAAAATAATTCATGTGAAAGCTGAAAACAAGATAGAAACTCCAGTGATGAAATTATAATATACCATGTATGTATTATATACTATATAAACATCTGCTTTTTAACTTCACAAGATAGCTTGAAAGTCCCAGTTGCCTCCCCCTGGCCACAAGGGATAAGGGAGTTTCTCTCTTTTGGTAAACCTAACAGGAGATTCTGCTTCTTCTTTTATAATACAGAAGTTAGAGTGCAGTTCCTATTCATCCTCAAAGAATTTTCTCTTTCTTAAAGTTGGAACTCTTTCAAAAAACATCACTTCTAAAAAACCATCTGTTACTCATCAATTGCAGCACAAAATCCAAACATGTGCATTTACCTCTGACTCTCTGTGGGACCTTTCCATTTCTTCCTATAAAATATTTCTAAACTCTGTCTTTCCACACGACATCCAGCATTACTTACATCTTAATCACAGAAGGAAAGAAGATTCAAATATCTGACTGAAATAACTGCTCACTATTCCAGGGCTAATCCAAATTAGTTCATTATACACCTGTCCACCAATCAACCTTGCGTGAACTCCTACCAGAGGCATAGAGCCGGCCCAAGTGATGAGGAGCAATAAAAGGAAGATAGAAGATATGATCTCTCTTCTCAAGAAGCTTATAATCAATCCATTTAAAGATATAAAACAAGTATTTAGCTAGATTCCAATTCAGCTAAATTTACAGAATGCCTACTTCATGACAGGAACTACGACTGATGTTCTCACATACACCACTCATTTAATTAATCTTAAAATAACAGTGCAAAAACATGGAGCCTGGAAAGAAGTAAAAGAGAGAATAAAAAGATCTTACTAGAAAAGTCCTGTGAGAAGCAGTAATACAAAAGTCACAAAAGTGCTAATCTTTTTTCCCTCTTACATTTTAGCAGTTAATATCTGTAGTTTCATAGGTATAACACAATAGCATTAAAAAGCAAATTGGTGAATATATTTCTTTTTTCAAAAGCTATAATTGGGGATATTTCATTGGAGAAAAGAATGAAAAAAGTAGTCAATATGAGGTCTGTGAATTATATGTGGATGCCCTTGTTACTACAGACAAATGAAAAGTGGGAATGCATTGCTTTATGCTTCTCTCAAGTCTCACATTTCTGGCTTACATCTAAAATAGGTAAACTGTATCCTTTTAATAATAAAATTAATATATCATTTATCAATATGTGTCTTACTTCTCAAGCTCCTTGAGGCCTGAGACTGTATCTTATCTACCTCTATGCTGCCTACAGTACTTGGGAATGTGGTGGGGTAAAATGGTAGTGTACTTTGAAGTAAGAAGGTTCAAGTCTTAACTCTACAAGTTTGTGCTAGTTTACTTCAGACAAACTCTAAGCTTCAGGATCCCTGTCTATTAAGATTAATAGTGCATCTCTATAGAAGTTGGTTATGAGAATTAAAAAGTAAGTGAAAACACTTAATGCTAAGTTCTAGGTGGAAACTAGCATCTAATGGGTGCTTAATATTTATTGGTTCTTTTTTTTTCATCTTTGTACGGTATACCTGTACAATGTAATTATGAAGTTGGAATTTCATTCATTTAGGCAACTTCCCAATAAAGGCATGTACTTACCTTGGTTTTCAGCTGGTCTTAGATTTGCTAAAGCAACGATCTGATGCCCAGCAGCAATGCACTGCATCATATTATAGCAGCTGTCCTTCCCACCACTAAACAATAAATCAAGAGAGGGACAAATATCATGCTACTGACCATTATTCAACATAAAATCACTAGATATCAAAACAGAACATATCATTTACTTGACTCTTCAGAATATATTACAATGCAAAAAAAACCCATTAATTTCTAAATCATAAACAAACTGAGCAACCGAATCTGAATGTCTAGGGCTGCTACTCACAGGAGCTTAAGAAACTATATATATATAAGAATATTCTAAACAAAATATGGTAACTTTTTGCTTTGTGATAGCAAATATATTTGAAGTGATTTGCAAATAGAAAATGATTTCAATTTACATCCCAGCTAAACATTTATTATATAATTATATATGAAATATATATATTCTACCTAAGGAATATATATAATAATATATATTATTCCACTTAAGGAATATATATAATATATATTATTCCACTTAAGGAATATATATATATATATATATAAAATAATTTCATAGAAATTATTGGGAAAAAAAAAACTATTCTCTATGAGAAAGTAAAAAAAAAAACAAATTCTGCTCCACCATAAGAAATCTAACAAATGGCTACCATCAGCAATTAAAGGATCAAATTAAAGATTTGAGTACCTAGCTAATGACAAAGTTTGACACACTTGGTGGGTTCAAATTCTGCAGAGATAAAAAACAAGATGCTGACTTACACTGATGACGTGAAACATCAGCACTATCAGCACTTCAGCCATCTCTACACATACATATAGTACACACATACACATAATATATATATATATATATATATATATATATATATATATATATATGATGGCAGCAGAACTAGGCTTGAGCTATAAATGTAGTAACACATTGAAAGGAACTTCTAAATTCTGGTTCTAAATCTACCTAAGGCAGACGCATATCACTTAGTAAAGACAAGCAGTAGCTCATCTATAATATGGCTGAATGGCAATCTATATGCTATTGTAATTTAATATTCTCCTAATTCCCACTATCATTTATCATTGCCTCTCTCCCTTTTACATTTCTTTTTCCTCCTGTTTCCCTTCTTTCCAATATTTGCTTAAGGCCTGCAAATCCCCAGGCAATGTTTAGACCTCTTCATAGCTCAAGAAACTGAGCACCTCAGAAACTGGCCTTGTTGCCTTTTATCTTAGTTTTCAACATTTCTGCCTCTTCCACCCTCCCATCAATAACAACTCTCATTCCAAAACTTCTCAAGTGGAAGGAGAGCACAAGGGCCAAAGTGAAGTTTTAAAAAGTCCATTCTTCCTCTCTTCAGGTTCGGTATCCCCATAAGTAGGTCTTCCACAACTTCCCATATCGAACCTTACTGCTCTGATTCCCCAGGATAAAAAGATATGACTAATTGTTTCAGATATTAAAGACTGAAGGGTGTGCATCCAGAATCAGAACTGAGTCTGACAATTTATTTTGAAATATGCCAACATTTCAAATATGGTTTTAAGCAGTATTTACCAAACTGTGTTCTGTGGAACACTGGTGTCCAACAAAATACTAACCAATTACTCTAACAAAAGGTTTTGAATATCAGACAAGCTTGGGAAATGCAGAGTACCTTACTGTCCTCTTAGAACTCCATTAAGTACACATGTATGTTAGGTGAGAGGTCTCACAGCTCTATTTTAGTTTCCAACTCTGGGATACTAAGCTAAGTTATTCAATGTGCTTAGGTTTGCATACTTCATTGCAAATTAATGAATGGTCTGCCTGGATAATCCTCAAAATAACATTCAACTATAAAATTCAAAGACTCATTTATTTATTAGAAAAATAATGTTCTATGAGAGCATATGGACACAGGGAGGGGCACATCACACACTGGGGCCTGTGGGGGTTTGGGGGTTAGGGGAGGGATAACATTAGGAGAAATACCTAATGTAGGTGATGGGTTGATGGGTGCAGCAAACCACCGTGGCACATGTATACCTATGTAAAAAAACTGCACGTTCTGCACATGTAACCCAGAACTTAAAGTATAATAAAAAAAAAATTTAAAAAAGGAAAATAATCTTCTTAGAAAGATATGTAAGAATCCCAGTTTCACTTATTCACTTATAATACATAATTATATATAATGCATATATATAGAATACATAGGCATCTGTATCATAAGCATACAGGTAAATGCTTACGTATTCATACTTACAGCATATGTCCTTACAGCTCTTACGCTTCAGCAAGAATTTTCCAACATTGCTTTTTTAGCAAACTTTTTTTATTATAAAGCAACATATGCACATTACAGGTTATTTAGTGTAACTGACTCTACCAATCTTCTCTCCTCCCCTCCAATACTTCTAAGTCTTTGTTTGTTGTGCTTTACTTTAATCGTTAAACTTTTGGCAAGCGATGTAAATTTGAATTATTCACTTCCTGGGGTACTTTTAATTCTTAAAATAAGACACAATGGTTAAAGCTTAATCATTTATGTTACAGAGGACATTTACTGAACAACAATAATTATTGTGACATTATGGTCTAGTCTCCTAAAAATGACATTGAAGGAAAGGGAACCGGAATATTCCAGACACTACAGTAGGTCTGAAATCTCATATCAAGTCCTTAATAGGTCAAAACTTACAGCCAGTATCAATTACCTAAGGGACTTAACGAAAACGTTTATGAAATCTTCAATTGGATTACAAAAGCAAGCACATCGTTGCACTGTATCTAAGACACTCTACAGGGCAAAATCTCATGAAACAAGTATTTAAGTAGTCTAACTTTTTAATGTTGCTAGTGTGTTCCCTTCTGCCTCAGTTTATAGATTGAGTATGGAAATATTTAAGCAGGTTTGTTTTTGGTTTGTCAGTCACAGGACTTATTTAGACACTTAAATTTATGATTTGGTTACTACAGACATCAAACTCCTTTTGGAATACGGAGTATAGGGTAAGGTCACTCTAAAGCAATGATGAGAGTCCGAAGCAACAGCAACTGGATCTAGCATAAGACTAGTACAATTCGGTCTCTACCACGAAGAGAGATCTCTGTACTTGAGTGCCCAAAGGCAGAAACACACACATGCCATAAGCAATCCACATCTGTGAAGATGAGGGAGGGGTGGACTTCTTGGGATGGGCGGAAACACTTACAACTAGGGAGGAAGCCAGGCTGCGGCGGACCCAGCTGACCAAAGGAACTACAGAAGAGGACGAAGAAAGCGAGGGGGAAAGGGCGAGGGTTATTAACTGAGTTGATGGAATAAGGTAGTGGCTCCAAACTTCACGGCTCATTAGAGCTTGAAAAAAAAAAATCAGACGCCGGGTCGCACAGAAGTAATTAAACCAATCCCTCTGGCGGTGGGGCCCAGGCGTCGGTACTTTTTTTAATTTCCCACTTGAATCCAATGGGAATCCAAGTTTAAGGGCTAGAAGACCAGAGAGCGACAGACAGGGAGGAGGCGCGCCAGCCAGGGGCCGAGGCACATGCGGGCCGGCAACAGCGAAGGCTCCGCCTCTTCCTGTGGCTCGGAGGAGCCGCGGAACCCCCAACGCGCGACTCAGACGGAGACACCCACTCTTTCGGCGCTAGCGGCGGCTGGAAGGGACGAGAGCCTGGCCTAGGAGGAAGGAGGCGGCTCCAGGACCGCATTACCTGATCAGAGCCGCGACCCTCATGCTGGGCGCAGTGCGCGTGCGTGCGGCGAGCGCGGGCGGGAGCCAGGAGGTCGCGCCGCAGCTCGCGTGACGCACCGCGGGGCCTCGCCCGGGTGTTCGCTCCGCCGCCTGTCCGCGGATCGGCGCTGCGAGCCCCGCGGCTGCCTGCGGGACACCTGAGCGCGGAGGGTGCGGCACCTTGGCACCTTGACCCTGTGGCAGGGACATCTCGGCCCAGGAAAGAATGAGGTTTAGGCACGGCCTAACCACCTAAGTGAGGGCACTGAAGCTGCCGGGGGAAGGGCAAGGTCCGCGTTGCAGAGCCCAAGCCCAGTGGCGCAGGATTTGTTTTGGTAAGAGGGGATTTAGCGTCCCAATTGCTGCAAATTGACACAGTTGCGGACGTGCAAGCGCAGAAGAAATTTGTCCTTCCTCACCCCACAGAACAGAAACAACTGTACACTTCTGCTTTTTAACTTACATCTCCTCTGTCCTCCAAACCTGTGTGTCCAGATGTGAAACTCAGATCCCCAGGGGCTGTGGTAATTTTTAAATCTGGGGCTAGCCCCCCCCACCTCTAGGCCCTCTGTGGCTTTGGCTCTTGGTCAAGCTTGTGTATTTGACAAGGCCAGGCCAGGCTCTTCACCAAAGAGCAATGGCCTTGCAGAAAGAAAATCTAGCTTCTAAGTTTATTTGCCAAGTATGTATTGAGTGCCTTTCGTGTACCAGGCACTGTTTTAGACTCTGTGGATACAACCGTAAATAAAACAAAAACCCGGCATTCCGGGCATAGAGCTTAAATGGGGATGGAGAGAACAGACAATACATATCTTAAAGGTAAATAGTCTGTTGAAGAGTGAAAAGTGCTATTGGAAAGGGGCGGGGTGCGGTGGGGGAGAGTCAGGAGAGAGGTGGAGAGGCAAATTGCAGAATTAAATCGTGTCTATGTAGGCCTTATTGGTAAGATGAGAGTTGAGCCAATTTAAATAAGGAGAGTTCGCTATGTGTATGATTGGGGTGTGCTCCAGACAAGAAAAAAAAATCGAAGGCTCTAGGTGCGTTGTGTGTTTGTGGAAGATTAAGGCAGATCCGTGTTGCTGGAGCAGATTGAGCAAAGCAGAGAGTAGTGGAGAGCAGGTTAAGGTGATGGAGGGGAAGGATTATATAGGGTCTTGTAGGTAATTGCAGACTTTTGAAGGGTGTGACTTAAAATTTTAAAAGGATTGCAGTGTTGAGAATCCACCTATTAGGAAGCTGTTACAGTGTTCCAGTAGAGAGATGGCGGAGCCTAGAATCAACATGGTGAATTTGGTGAGAAGTAAGAGGATTCCAGCTCTATTTTGAAGATAGAGCCAATAGAATCAAATTCGATATGGGATACAAGAGAAAGAAAGTCATGAGGGATGATGCCAAAGGCATGAATTAAGTAAGTTAATATATGTAGGGAACTTAAAATTATGCCAGGTACATAGTAAGCATTCAATTTTATTTTGACATTCTCAACTCTAATAGTAGGGGTGACTAGAGCAGTGACAGTCTACATATCAGTTTTAGCGTCTAGAATCATACAGCTTTAAGATTTTGCAGTTATGAATATTTACCAAATGAGTCAAGTATTTAAGAAGTTTGCAGTCTAATTGGAGGAGATAAATACGTGAAACACACTTAAAATGATACAGCTCCAATGAGTGGAAGAAGCACCAGGGCTCTCGTCTCATGCCGAATTGGGTAAAATGACACAGACACACATGGAGTGGTTTTAAGGGGTGGAGAATTTAATAGGCAAGAAAGAAGGGTGAAGAAAGGAAGAAGCTCCCCTGTAGAGACACATGGAAGTGGGCTCCAAAGCCTAGAGAGGAAACCCCCAGTGCTGGGGTTAACAGGCAGTTATATGAGGAGACTGGAAGAGGCGGTGTCAGATTTGCATAGGGCTCAGGGGATTGGTTTGACCAGGCATGTCATTCACATAGCCCACGAAAAACCTGGCTCTCCCACCCTAGCCTTTTAATATGCAAATGCAGGTCGCCTTGATGTTCTACACGTGTGGCGATATGTGGGGATGGCCATGTTGCCAGACACATACAGGGGCAAGGGCAAGAGGACAGCGGTGGCTATCGCCATGTTTGTGTGGACCCAGTTTCTAATGGCCTGCATTTGCATATCAAAGGTCGCCAGCCGGGCTCTAAGAGCAGGGGCTTTCCTGCTAGACAAGAAACATTTCTGGAGCTGCTTTAAAAGAGACAAAAACTTTCCAAGGACCCCTTTTCCTATCTGCCTAAAATTATTTTTTTAATAAATCCTATAACAGTAATCCAAGATAACACATTTTGAAAGTAACAAGTTATGTAATGTGTATGGCAAGAGTCCCATGAGTCAAACTCACAGGGTAATGGCTGGAATGAGGATGGGACTTGAAAGATGAGTAGAATTGAACAGGAATGGGCGGAACTTCCAAACAAAGCAAGGCAAGAATGAGCGTGGTGTGTTGAACAACAGGGGGTAGACTAGCTTGACTAATTTGGAAGGTATATGGGAAAGAAGAAAAAATAAGTTGAATAAATAGGATGAGGCCAGTTTATCCAGGGTCATGGAAAACCAAAATGAGGAATTTCAAAATAAGGCAGGTTACTGTGGCTACTTGACATCATTTTTCAGGAGATTGTGTGAAATAGCAGTAATGAACATGATGAATGATTTTGATAAAATAGGCACTCCCAAAGATGCCAATGGATTATCTTTTCCACCAAGGGATATCTTTTCCTTGCCACTTCCCAGGAGGGATAAAGAGAGAAGATTCTAAGGCTACCTTCCTAAAACTACATCTTTAGGATTATTTTTTTGTTTCTCTTTGCGCTCTGTAGGCTTCATTTTAAGACATCCTCAACAAACAGGTTTATTACAGTGTGTATATCCTGGCATTAAACTGTATGTTAGGAAATATGTTGAGGCCGTTCTCCAAGGTCACCCAGTTTTTAGCTTGATGGTGTTGCTTTCCCCACTCGATTCTTTCTAGCACCTGTGGTATCTCTCCTCCAGGTCCTTTTGACCCCTTGAACAAAATTTCTCTCAGCACCTATTCCCTCCTTTTAAAACTTTCTACCAGAATTATTTAAATTAATGAATGTTTCTGGTTGCCTAATGTAACACTGCAACGTGTATTTTCTTAAAAATTTTTATATTTCCTCACATTAGTGCCTTTCTCTCAGCATTACCACACAAGGCTCTGTGCTTGAATGTCCTATCAAGGCCACCATAAAAATGGTAGGTTCAATTCATTTTGGTTCAATAGACATATTGGTATTTCCGAAATTAATATATGTCAGATTGGTCTTGACCCAGCCATCAAAGTTATTCTTAGAGTCATACATATTTTTGAAGTTCTTTTTTTTTATAGCTAACTGAACAAAACCAGATTAATTATTGACCCCTGAAAAACTTGTTAAAAACTAGAGATTAGGCCATGCTCTAACTTTTCCCATTGAGAATCTTTCTTAATTCATTGTAGTCACCTTTGTGGGTGTCATTTTCTTTTGCCGAAATTTAAAAGCAACACCCAGTTTGTCAATTACAGGTTTCTGAGAAGCAGATGCCAAGACGGGATTACATGTGCAGGAGATAAGAGAAAATGCCTGTGAAGGACAAAGGGAGACCAGCAAGAGAAGGCAGGGAGACTCCGATTGGAATGCAGGGGAGTCGAAATCTGAAAAAGCAGAATGGGAAGGAAGAATAGGTTGAAAGAACCTGTTTGTAATGTCATTCTGAGAGACTCAGCCAGGTCAATGGGGAGTCCTAAGCCAAAGTTGTTCATTAGAGGAATTCCAAATTGGTCAGGATCTGCTGTGCTCAGTAACTGTCTGAGAGCAGTGCAGGAAAAACTTAGTCCGGTGCAAACTCAGTGGTGAATCCAAAAGTGCAGTAGGCGGAGACTGTAAATCAATTCATAATAACATTCATGGTGTCGCTTCATGATTTCTGTAAACCTCTCTAAAAACTTAGGAAAGGGAAGTTAATAGGACAAACTATCATCACAGGTGGTCTGGGACCACACTAGTACTTACCCTGTCCTACACTATCCACTCTATATTCCCATCACTCTCAGCTCTCACTTCAGCAGATCTTGTTGACTTACTTGGTGGCATGACCTAAACATTCACTCCTAAGTGGTCTTGGGCTTTTGTCATCATACTCTTCTCAGTCCGTGACTGCAGTTTGTGTCCATTCACAGTTAGAACTAGGTAAGGGCATACCAAGAGGCACCCAAGTGGATCATCTGAGTTTCACATGTGTATTTCTCCCTGTCCCCAAGGTGTAAAGGTGGCCCCACCTCCTCATACTAATCAATTATCCTTGCTTGCTGGCCCCTGGCTGCAAAGAGCCAAAAGTGTCGTGCTATACATAGCTTATAGTTCAATGGATTCCCGCTCTACCCCTTTGCAAGAGAGAAAACCTGTAATTCTACTCAACCCAGAGTTGGGGAAAGTGAAGCACAGAGTTCTCCAGTGGGTTATTAGGAGTGATTTTAAATAAAGCCATTTGTGATTTCACCTTTTGGTTCCTAGATCCATGTATTTGCCGTACTAGAGACACAGTGCCATGTAGAAATCTCTGATTAGTGCCTATACTAAATACTGAGAGATGTCATGCCATCCTTGCAGATTATTGTCTCTGAGCTGCTGATTTCGCTGTGACTTAAGTAGGCTTTTCCAGTACTCTATGAGGCCAACTTCACCTAAATAGTGCAGTATATGATAAAACAATTAGACCTCATGGACATGGCCTATTCCTGTACCTCCTTTTCTATAAAGTAAGTTTTCTTGTGGATGCTCTGCTAGGTGGGATTCTGTGACTAGAGAGGCATTCTGCTAGTGGTGCCAGCTAAATCTTTGCAGACAGGAAAGGCCAGGTTCTAGTACCTGCTCAATCAAAGCCTGGAAGCAGCCAGGGGAAGCGTGGCTTATCACGAACTCCACAGTGGATCCAAAGGTGTGGCAGCTGAAGGCTGTCAGTCAGCTGCGCTCTCCACAGCAGGTGCTTTTGAGGAGAGATCTGAGTGGAACACTTGTAAGGCTGCCAGAGCAAGACAGTGACTCTCACAAAATCATATGAGGAGCGGGAACATTTGCAGCGCCCTGCTGGAGTAAGAAATGTAGAATAAAGAGTTATTCAAACTTAGAATAGTACTTGAAGGAGAACCTACCTAAATTTGTGAAAGTCTAAATTATAAACAATACTGTTTTTAAGGAAATGCCTTAATTTACTTCCAAACAAATATTCTAATCTTGAGCATACTAACATACTGATATTGAATCCTGGCTAAGGGTTTTACTATAAGTTAATAGAGGAAACATTTTTAACTAGTAGTATTTATTTGCCTACATGTAATTTGCTCAAATTTTAAGGACAGTTCATTTACCAAGACCCCTACATTCATAATTTTCCACATGGATAGTGTAAAGGCAACTTCAGCCCAGTAAATGTCAATAAATTAAAAGACTTTTTTCTTTTGATTAGTGCAGTCTAAAGTAATTCTTTTTGCAATATATTAAAATGACTTGCTCAAGATTCACTTTTCAAAGGCATTGTGAGCTTACTTCCTACAGTCTGAGACTGTTACATATGAGTAACTATGGATTAGCTTGTAGGGCCAGCAAAATAGGTGAACAGAAAATCAGCCTCAAAAAACCTCCATCCTTTGCCAATTTACTTAAGGAAAACTCTCCATAGCCAAACACTGTTGCTGGTAATAAAAGCTGCAAGCTGTCACTGAATTCTGCTTTCTTGGCAGCACATCTCGATATACTGATTGATAAAGACTCAGATAATCAAATCAAGAATGCTACAGGTGGTTACTCCTCAGAAACCTTGAAAGGATTTAAATTCATTCTGCTTAAAGTCATGCCATACAGGAAGCCATCAGAAGTTGCCTGGTAAGGATTTAAGAAAAAAGGAATTAAGTGGTTATTTGGGTCATAAATTTTAGGGCATCAGGTTATGAGTATCTGATGTATTTATATTAATAATTACAGCTTACCATGGGCCAGTCACTCTTTTAAATGCCACAGCAAATTTATGAAGTAGGATATATTATTATCCTCATTTGCACATGAGGAAACTGTGCACAAAGACGTTAAATGGACTGCCAAAAATCCTAAAGCTAGTAAGTGCCAGTACCAGTATTCAAACCTAGGCAGTCTAGCTCTTAACCGCTATACTATATCTTCCATTGAAATGGACAGCTGGTTATTTTGACTAAATATCCTAAGATATGTTTGGAAGGGAATTACCATCACTGACCTCTTAAATCTCCTTTTTCTGTACTTCCAAGCTGATCAACTCTTTTTTTGTGAAAGACTCAAATTGTTGTGTTGTATTACATGAATCGATATATGGGATAATTGCTAAACATTATAGACCTGAGAGTCATTCTATCTCTTTTAGAAATCTTTTTCTTTATTCCATAATGGATAATGACAAATTCAAAAGCTTTAGGAAGTAGGCAGATAACATAAGTGAGGGAGATGGCTTGGTATAAGACAATTTGAAATGGCGAGAACTGTGGCAAACCACTACTCACTCGTCACTTGGCTCCAGCTGCTCTGTGCAAATGTGGATCCAATGTTATCAGATATTTTAAGGCCAGGAATGGTGGCTTATGCCTATAATCCCAGCACTTTGGGAGGCCAAGGTGGGAGGATTGCTTGAGCCTAGGAGTTTGAGACCTGCCTGGGCAACACAGTGAGACCCTGTCTCTACCAAAAAAAAAAAAACATTAGCGACATGTGGTGGCATGTGCCTGTAGTTCCAGCTACTTGGGAGGGTGAAGTGGGAAGATTGCTTGAGTTCAGGAGGTCAAGGCTGCAGTGAGCTATGGTTGTGCCACAGCACTCCAGCCTGGGTGACAAAGCAAGACTCTGTCTCAAAAAAAAAAAAAAAAAAGATATTTGAAATTTTACCTTAAGGGTAAGTTATTACCTCTGCAAATAGCTCATTTCTTCATCGTCTGTTTTACTCTATTCAGTTTCAGAGAGAGACCACAGTCTTGACTTTATTTTCAAGTTCTGTGAATCCATTATTTTTAGAGCTTTTACCTCTTTACAGTCTCCATGTATATATTCAATAATGTAAAATATGTTAACAGTTCATTGTTTGGACTGTGTCCTTTTTACAGACAATTGACTATATAAAAGGCTGAAGGGCTTTTCCAGTATATCCCTAGTACTACAAAGTACGTTTTGGAGTCAGACAAATCTGAGTTTGAATTCTGTTTCTGAGACATTAACTTGTAATTTCAGCAAGATGTTTTTTCTTCATCTGTACAATAGGGTTACTTATACCTCCTAATTAGATGAGGATTAAATATATATAAATACACTGATCATAGCAGCTGTCATATGCAAATTCTGAAGCAAACAAAAAATTAAAAAACAATGAGTTATCATTAATAAGTCATAAAGGAAATAAAGGAAAGATTATATGGAATCGTATAAAAATACTCAAAAAGGGCCAGGCATGGTGGCTCATGCCTGTAATCCCAGTACTTTGGGAGGCCAAAGTGGGTGGATCACCTGAAGTCATGGGTTCAAGATCAGCCTGGCCAACATGGGTAAACCCCGTCTCTACTGAAAATACAAAAATTAGCCAGGCATGGTGGCATGTGCCTGTAAACCCAGCTACTCAGGAGGCTGAGGCAGAAAGAACTGCTTGAACCCAGGTTGCAGTGAGCCAAGATCGTGCCACTGAACTCCAGCCTGGGTGACAGAGCAAGACCCTGTCTCAGAAATAAATAAATGAAAATGAAAATACTCAAAAAGGACATTTATATGTAACTATATCAAAATCAAAAAGGCGATTTATATGGAATCATATAAAAATAGCCTAAAAGAAGTCAGAAAAAAAGAGGAAGAAAAACCGAGACAAAAAACAAATACCAAGATGATAGATTTAAACCCAACATCAATAATCACATTAAATGTAAATATCTTAACACTTAAAATTCATATTGAAACACTGAACAAGAAAGGAAGTTCCAACCATACCCTGTCTATAAGAAACTCACTTTAAATATCAAGACACAGGCAGATTAAAAGTAAAAGGATAGAAAAAAAGATAAATACTATGCAAATACTACTCAAAAGAAAGCTAGAGTGGCTATATGCATATCAGACAATGTAGATTTCAGAGCAAGGAATAAAATTAGTCTTTTCCCGCCTTAGAACTTCAGTCCCCCAGGTCTCTTCCTGTGAGGCAGCACATTACCCATTTTTCTGTATCTTTCCAGGATGAGTTTATGAATATATAAGCATATATCACTTTTATTTTCTACTGAGGGGAGCATACTATATTCACTGTTCTGTACTTTGTTTTTCCACATATATCTAGGACATTATTCTGTAGTACCACTCCGTATAGATTTATCTCATTCAGTTTAACTATTGTATAGTGAAGAATATAGATTTTTTGAAGTCTTTATTAAACATATTAGGGTCTCTAAATTCTAGCTAACATGGTAAAGCACCTCCAAAATATGACTGTAATATAACTTAAAGAACACTGGACACATGCCTGTCCAGTGCATTCAAAACTGAGGTCAATATCTCATCACGCCACCTTCCTGCCCTTGTCACCCCAATTCATTCTTCCACCAATTTCTTGTTTTTTAAGGACATCACCCTCCACCAATCTGGTCTCTAAAGTAATTGTTAACTTTCCTTCGTTCACTTTCTTCCCCCAATTAGTAGCCAGAGTCCTATACATTCTACTGTTAAGGTGTCTCAGTAGTTTGGAGATGGATGGTGAAGATCTTTTTGAATTTCATTGTCACTTAGTGTATTGAATATAAGACTTTCTGCATCCAATTCCAGTTTCCATTGCCAGATATCTTTTCTATAGTATTGCATCG
The DNA here is from genome assembly GCF_000001405.40 of Homo sapiens. Taxonomy (NCBI): domain Eukaryota; kingdom Metazoa; phylum Chordata; class Mammalia; order Primates; family Hominidae; genus Homo; species Homo sapiens. Next base: position 35,555,020 of record NC_000015.10, read on the forward strand.
TAGAATAACTTTAGAGTATTTAAAAATGATAAATTGATATTTTTAGTATTCCTACCTGAAAAGTTTTTTTCTAGAGTCTTTTTAAATAATTTAACTCACTGTTCATCTGATTTAAGAAGATGTCTGAGGTCTGGTGGGATATATAGTGTTGTGTAATTGTAAGTTGGATTTACAGATCATCTTTTTTTTGAAAAGCTACCAGTGCTTTAACAAGTTTTGTTTTGTTTTTCCTAATATTCCTGTGAAGTAGATTGAAGAAAATATTTTCTTTTCAATTTACAAATGAAAGAACAGAAACACAGATATATCAGTTAATTAGTGCTTGGCTACACAGGATGTTAGTGGCAGCACTGGGACTAGAACCCAGGTTTCCTGACATTCAAGCTGGATTATAAATTTCAGGATCATAAAACTGTCTACCCTGCAATTTTTAAAAAGAAATGGCATATGCTCTCACATTCTGAATTTCTAGCACTGTAATAATAATCCATTAAAAAAGAAAAAAAAAGCCTTCCTTTGAGAATCTCGTTGGAAAAGAACATTTTGCAAGAAAAGTAGGGAATACATACATACATATTCAACCACTGATTTCTCTTCATCAAGAACTTCTCTGTAAAATGAGCTTAAAATATGATGACATCAGGCCCAATGTTACACCTATTTTTATTCCTCAAATATTGTCCAAACATATAAATGTTCTGGACTCTAAATCAATCATTTGAAACTGGTCGGCTACAGCTTTGAAAATATTGGAAGCATCATGAACATCATGCCCATCTGTCATTTTTTTTCATCATAGAACATATATAGCCTGCAATCATTCATAGCAATATCTCATGGCTCTGGTAAAAGCTCATGAATAGCCTTCTCTATTCATTCTCTCTTTAGCCTTCTCTACTCAGCTGCTATTTCTGAGTAATTAGATGTATTCAAAAGTCCAACAAACTAAATTCTAAGTGGCAACTCAATGGCAACAGGAATAGTTGAATAAATTACTTTATTTAAGTGGAAAACCCATTTTCCTCTGAAGTAGAGCAATTTGCAAGAAGAACTTAAAAAACCAGCCTATAAAAAGAGAATTTAAACTTTGAAAATTTTATTGCAATTATAGTAATATGTTAGAATTTGATTAAACATTTTAATTACAATCACTTTGAGCTTTCATTTCATCAGTAAAATTTCTATTCATTGGCTTTGCCTTTTTGGTGGAACCAGATAGATTAAAATTTTATTGTGTTTAGCAGTTATACAAAAGTAAACCTTTTTTGTTGCAAACCACTGAGACTTTAGAGGTCGCTGAGTTATCTCAGGGACTAAAGAGTCTTGCCAGTTTGTATGGGCAGCAACCTAGCAAGCATGTGTAGAAGTGGCTTCTAAGGGTGTTAGGAGAGAATTAACTGTGAAATTGAATTAGGCAAACTGTAAAGGAGAATTAACTGTAAAATTGAATTAGGCAAAATTTACCTTATCCTCACAGATAAAATACATCGCACATTTTTTCTTTTTAATGTTTTAGTTCACAGACTTCTTGATGCAAAGACACAGAGGACCCTATTTGCCAAAACATAAATAAACACATACTTGCCTCTCTACTTTCAGATGTATGATCATTAATATCTCACACAACAAACTTTCTTCAGTTATCTCAGGCTGGGTAAGATACCCTTTTATCTGGTGCCATAGCACGTTACACTTTGTGGTTATAATTTATTAAATGTCTGTATTCTTGAGTATATTGTCAGTTTCATGAAAGCAAAGAATGTCCAGTTCTATTGTACCAGTCAGTCTAGTGGCAGGAGACAGATTTGAAAGATATTGAATGAAGGGACTTTTCATAGTGCTGTGGGAAACTAAGGAATTATCAGGAATGTTGAAATTTCCACAAACTAGCAACATAGGAAAGCAATAGCATCAATAGGTCTGAATAAGCAGGGAGAGAAAATGGTATCATTAGATCTTTTCAGAGGCTGGGGTAATAGAAAATGGGGTCAGTCAATAGGAGCTCTAGTAATAGGGGGAATACAGCCACCACCACAATAGTGCACCAAGAAAGGGAAATCACGAGTGAAGAAGTAGACTCATCTCTTCTTCATCCACACTGCCATCTCCTGCCAGTGCGTCCCGCTGGCTGAATCCCACACAAAGTTAGACGGTAAGGGAGCTTTTTAATGCAGTTTACAGAGATCAGCCCTTGGGGCAGAGAACAAGGCAGAGGATGAAGGATGGGTCTTGGGAGGGCAAACAGAATAACCTACACACCTCCTTATTACTATATGGCCAGTTCTTGTTTGTTTACCTGGTACATAGAAAATGTTTAAAGATATTTGTTGGGTATAAGAATGAATAGCATAGACATTAAATGTAATTAATGTAAGCAAGATTAGGCTGCATTTCTTATTCTTTTAGGAAATTATTTTACTTCAACAACTTGTCTTGTTGCTGAATATGATTGTGAGAGTCTTTTAGCTATTTATATTAAATGTTTCAGAAACCACATTTTGAATTCCTGTGAAGAACACTAAGAAGTATAGTAATTGGGGATGCAATTGTGAGAGAGATCATATTGGTATGAAAGAAAAAATGAGGTGGCTCATTTGAACATGTTTGTTGGGTAGATAAGTGAAGAAGATGAGTCACAAATTGTAATTCATGACATGCAGTTACAACACGATGACTCAGCTTATCACTGGCATAGGTATTGGGTGGAGTGTCAGCTGGGGCAAAACAGTAGGAGATCATGTGGCTATGGTATTGATTACGATGGCGATGATGATGACAAAGATTGTGAGGTGGGCTGACCATCTCTGTGTTGTAAAACTTATTTAAAAAAAGATAAGCTTGGTACTCTTAAAACAAAGCATGGAGAGACTATCAGAAAGTTTTAATGAATATTTTAAGCAAGACTTCTTAACGTAGGGTCCACAATTAGGATACAGATTGGCTGGCCATGGTGTCTCACACCTGTTATCCCAGCATCTGGGGAGGCCGAGATGGGATGACGGCTTGAGCCCATGAGTTTGAGACCAGCCTAGGCAACATAGCAAGACTCCCATCTCTACAAAAACATAAAAATATAAAAAAATAGCCAGGTATGGTGGCATCTGTGGTCCCAGCTACTCGAGATGCTGACGTGGGAGGATTGCTTGAGCCCAGGAGGTTGAGGCAGCAGTGAGCCGTGATTATACCACTGTACTCCAGGTTGGGTGACGGGAAAATCTGTCTCAAAAACAAATAAATAAATAAAAATAAAAAAATAGTATACGTGCTAAGGTAGGAGCACTTATGTTTTGTCTGAACAAGAATGGATAAAAGACTTAAGTGATCTCTAAGGAAAAGTGGTAGTTTTAGAGAAGTAATATTTTTTCTTCTAAAGAGAAGGAAAAAATAGTCTTGCTTAAATCAAGATACCGAGTCTATAGGAGTTTAAGAGTTTTTAGAGGATTACCAAGTTTATGCATACCAAACTGGCTTAATATTAATCATAACCAGAGGTGTGGTTATTTTTATATTATTCCTAAAAATTAAGATAATCTCAACCAAATGTGTCATGAAAAACTTTTACCAGTGATTTAAAAATCTATGTTAATCATTAAGAGCAAATAAACTGATGTTTGAAAGTATTTAAGAGTTTCAGGCATAAAATACTTCACAACAAACTATGCTGTTATTTTTAAAATAATGTACAGTAAGTAACGGGCTCTGACCCACTGAAGAAAGACAACTAAAAGCATTTACTAAGTTAGATGATTCTATCCTGCAAGATGTAATATCGTGGAAATCTGGCATTTTCACAATTTACTTTGTCGGGGGAAAGTACCATATTCTCTGAGATGCTGGCTTGGGTCCCTCTGCCATCATAGTAAAAAATACCCTTAGTGTTCTGGGTTATAATTTCCCTGTCAATATAATGCAAATCCTAAAGACCATCTGTTTTCATTCTGCAAAGTGTGTTATAGCAGTCTTGCAAATAATTTTCAAAAATTGAATTGCTCAGTATTTTCCCTACCTGCCCTCACCTCAGGATGTATATATTTGGACAGTAAATTTATAGTTGTTATTATTCCTGATGCCCACATGGTTCCTTGCAGTGACAAGTGATTACGGAAATATTTGTAAGGCTTGTGTAGAGACTATAAGGAAGAACAAAATGTTTACATGGAATCCAGTCTGTTCAAAAGCATTTTATTAATGAGGAATTTATTTTTAATGTATTTTTATATAGGCCAATTACTTGTCTAATTTATGTTTAAAAATTCTCTAGAAATACCTTTTCTTGTTTTAATTGGCAGTTTTATTGGGATTGCATTGACAACAGCCCTCATTAATATAACATTCATTGCTCTGAAAGAAACCTAAGATGATATGCTGCAGTGCATAAAAATAGCTCAAACAACTCTGCACCTTCTTCCCAACATTCACAATCAGTAAAATCAAAAATTTGAGAGAGAAATTAATAAGTTGACCAGCCAATAACATTCAAAAAGAAACTCTACTACTAAAAACCTTGACCTCTTAATTAGGTCCTCTCTTCCATTTTAAACATAAACATGCACAGGCTTATGTACATCTTCATATCAATGTATTTAAAGGACAAACATGCTTTCGCAGACTTAAACTACCTTACAGATCCTCAAAGAGGCAAAAGATCTAGGAAACTGTTCAGTTAATAGAGAACCAATAATTATTTTAATTAAAAATATTTGTAATCGATATCCCAGTGATTACTAAAATATGTGAAAGAATGTGAAACAAGCAAAAGAGAAAAAATCACAAATCCATTTATTTCTCGAAAATCAAAACATTATATTGGGAAATCTGTTACTTACTCACCTGCCAAGTTCTAAGATTAGAAATCTTTGTTTTCACTGCAACAGTTGATGCTACTGAAAACTGCTATGTCACTTGAGGAACCTGCTTCCTGTTCTGTTTCAGATGTTTCTTCTTCATTAACTTTTTAATTAAAAAGCTTTACAGATCACCCTAAACTTAGAAAATAAGAATAATGCTCTCAGTTTTTTTCTCTCTTTTGTGTGTGTTTATATAATCTGTAATTCTCCAGCTCTATTAAAATAAGTGCCTTCCTGCAAGCTGAAATAAGCCTAAAGTATAATGTGTCTTGGTTCTCTAATTATCTCATGGATTTCTACCATTGTATTAATTCATCTCTAAACTTCATGGATCTGTTGACTTTACTGGCTCTCAATATCATCTGCTTTCAGTGTTGTTCATAGTTAAAAAAAATTAAATCAACCTTTTCCTATAGGTTTCATTTGAACATGACTTGACCAATCACCACAGCCAACTAGTTACCATTTTATTAAGGTGTTATTTCTTGGCTATCTCCTGTATGCATAACATTACCATGATATATTTATGTCTTTGAGACTGAGAGAAATGTAATAAACCACTAACAGTATCATGGGTCGAAAGGCCAGAGTCTGCTGATAACCCTTCTTTTGTAAAGCATATGAAACTCTCCCTAGTAGGGTCCTTCCATTTAGTTAAGTTCAAGGGCCCAGAACAATTCTATAACTTGATATAACCTGATAATGTTAGAAGGAAATAATTCAGTGATACAACAAATTGTGCATGCTTGAGGGAATTTGAAATCTATCCATAAACAATATAAAACCCATAATCTCTGCCAATGGATTTGGGACCAAACTTAACTTTTTGTTGCATCTTCAAATTCTACAACTTTCCTATGATTTAAAATGTCTTCTTCAGAACTCCGGAATAATTTTTTTTAATAAAAGGATCTTCTCTTTCCCCATACACCATCATATAACAGATTTAGAGAAAGCTCCAAAGATTAAGGAATGTGTGTAAAAGATCTTAAACAACAGAGCTGTTTTTGTTCACTCTCCTGTCTCTGGGACAAAGAAAAATGAGGACATAGATGACATATACGGATAAAGGAAACAGGTTTCCATTGGTAAGCCTTTATGGGACCATTGAAAACAAGAGTATGAAAAGAAGTTTTAAAAGTTATGAGGAGCACATTCAGAGAAGACCAAATGAAAGCAAGCAATTATTGGGTAACAGCAGAAACGGAGCATATGCCAAGGCCTGCTATCTCTCTCATGCCTCTTTTGTAAGAGAAATTGCTTTCTATTACTATGTAACTCTATCCTGAACTTTGCAGCCTTTGGAGGAAAGAAAGGTGCTCAGGAAGTAAAATTAGGACTATCATTACTGGTAGAGGAATGAGACACTAGTGGGTTTATTGTTTAGAAACCATCCCAAGTAAGGATACCAAAGCAAGGAAAGTAAATTTTGTCTGAAAATAACTTTGATACAAAGAACATGTTGCTGCTGTAAGTCCATAAACTACATACTGTACTGAAATAATCTCATGGACAATATGAAATGACATTTAAAAATTTTTTTTTATTCAAGAAGAAGAAATAAGTTTGGTAATTTATGCAAATGTTTAATCTGGCTAATTTAGAGAAGTAGTTGTGACCTTGGATAAATTAGTAATCTCACTTTGTGTGCCTCAGTTTCCCCATCCATAAAATGGGAATAACAATGAACCTATCTCATAATTTGTTTTGTCGCTATTCACCTGTACAATGTATGTGAAACAGTTAGAGTTGTGCCTGTCACAGAGTAAACAATAAACATTATTACCATGCCCTTAAAAATATCCAGACATTTGCTTAAAATATCTGGATAACTGCTTCAATTGTCCAGTATATACTAATACAGATAGACTCTTTATGAATGCCTGGAACAAGCTGAATAATGTCTTTCAAATATATCCAGGTAGGTCCTAACCCCTGGAACCTGTGAATATTACTTTATATGGCAGAAGGAACTTTGCAGATGTGATTAAATTGAGGATCTTGAAATGGAGAGATTATCCTGAATTATCTAGGTGGGCCTTACATGCAATCACAAGTGTCCTTATGAGAGAGCAGCAGAGGGAGATTTGACTGCAGAACAGAATAGAAGGCAAGGTGATGACTGAAGCAAGATGATGCTTTGTTGCTGCCTTGGAAGATGGAGGAAAGGGCCACAAGTCTCGAATACAAGGAATTCAGCTCTAGAAGCTGGAAAGGGCAAGGAAACAGACACATTCTCCACTAGACCCTCCAAAGAGGAAGTCCTGCTGACACCTTGAATTTTGCCCAGTTAGACTTGAGTTTGGACATCTGCCCTCTAGAACTATAAGACAATGAATTTCTGTTGTTTTATGCCAGTAGATTTGTGGTTATTTGTTACAGCAACCATAGAAAACTAATACAATGTTGTATCTTTTCTTTAGTTACCAAATTAATTAGTTACTTGACTAATTATTTACCTAATAGTTACCTAATTAAATATATATACTAAGCATATGCTATGGAATGAAATGGGTGTGGGAAGTTGTGATTATCTAGTTTACACAGTCAAAATACTGATCTATTTTCTTGGATTTTACAAATTGATTTGGTTTTCCCCATCTCCACAAATATTTTATTTCAACTGTTTAGACAGAGCTATGGGCTTTTAGTGGAAGGCTCTTTAATTTTCTGCCTATGCTTCATTTACCACCTCAAACATGTACTCTTTATTTATCTGAGGTCTGATAATATTACTCTTTAGATGGCAATCTTAAATATAGGCATAGAAACCTGCCAAATTTTAGAAAACAAGAAGTGAATGAGTCAGGCAGAGAAACACCTGATATTGTGGAAAAAGTACTGGCTTTGGAGCCAGCTAAATCCAGGTTTGAATACTAGGCTACTATGAACTTTGAGACCTTTATCATCTTTGAGTTGTAATTTCCTCCTGGGTAAAATAGGAATTTATAAAAAGTCCCATATGTCATAAAACTCAATCCTCGTTTATAACCAGGTTACAATGCTCCAAACACACATTCCTTTTAGTAGTAGGAATTCTAGTCTTTTTACCAGACATTTCCCTTATAGTAAGAATGGATTCTTCAGGTGAGTGGGTAGAGATTGGAAGATGTCCTTCCTTCTATGTTGCAGTACCCAGGATATGTCCTATAGCAGGTAGCTGGAACCCAAAGCAGCATTACAGAGATTTTACATTTCAGCTCTTTTGATTCTTCCACCTTTGGTTATTTTTCCCTGGGCATAATCCCCAGTACTGAATTGAATGAATCCAGAAGGATGGTAATCCAGAATTTAGATAAATTAACAGTTGACAAAGCCATCAAGTGTTAGTTGAGAAGGAGATATCAGCTCTATCAGGAGAGCTTCTCAATCTTTTGCAGATGATATTATGAAAGAACTGTGACCTCCTGGGAACTACCCACAGTGTCACCCACTAAAACACAGTACTTGGCCCCAGTTTGATATCTACTCTCAGACTCTTCTTAGCGTAGAATATGATTCACCAGATTTGTAGATGTTTTCCTTAAGACCTACTATATTGCAAATTCTTCAGAATTTGTGATTCTCATGGATCTGGAGGCGACAGGCCTTTAAGCTGTCTTAGCAACATTTGCTTACCAGAACAGAATGATTTATCTGGTTTTCTGACAAAAATTTCAAGTCTCATGACTTTTTTCACTGAGTCAGACATCTTACTGTGGAACAGCCAGTTCATTCATTAATAATATCTCATTGTCCATTTAAATCTACTAGTTAAAACATATAGCATTAGATTTTATTTCCATCAGGGAACAATCTCTATTGCCTACTAACTGGTCAAATAGAAACAGTCACCTGAACTTTAAGTGGTTCTTAACTTTTGGGATGACACACTTCTCATTACAATGAATATATGCAAAGCCCACAAAATGTGACATACAATAAATACCAAAAGGTCTATGGACTCTATATTAAGAACTCCTGAGATACAAAGAACTTTAAATATGGAGCAAGATTTTCAGACTGTATCTGTGTGACAATACAGATAAGGGTTCATACTGGATGTTTGTTTTACCATGAGAATGAGTTACATACAGTCAGTTGGATTGTGTATCTTCAATCCACTTGGGTAGTAGATTTGGCCAAAATAAATACTGTCTTTGATTTGGTGTCACAAATAGTTTTTTTTTAAATCCGTATTTATATTGCATAATATATTAATTTTCTAGAGCTGTCATAACAAAATACCACAGGCTGGGAGGCTTAAACAACAGAAATTCTATTCCAGTTCCAGAGGCTAGAAATTCAAGATCAAGGTGCTAGTAGGGTTGATTTCCTCTAAGTCCTTTCTCCTTGGCTTGCAGACGGCTACCCTCTTGCTGTCTCTCAATGTGGTCATCTCTCTGTGCTTCACAATCCCAGGGTCTCTTTGTGTATCCACATTTTCTCTTCTTATAAAGATGTCAGTCAGATAGGATTAGGGCCCATTCATATGAATTCATTTTAGCTGAATGACTTCTTTAAAGGCCTTATCTCCAAATATAGTCACATTCTGAGATATTAGAGATTAGGGCTTAAAAATGTGAATTTTGGGGGGACACAATTTAGCCATAAAATACAGTATCTTAATTTAATTGCCTTTATTTACATCCCAAAGTATTATCTCTTCTGTCCACATTTTCTTTTCTTTTTTTTTTTTTTTTTTTGTTCTGTCACCCAGGCTGGATGGAGTACAGGGGTGTGATCTCGGCTCACTGCAAGCTCCGCCTCCTGGGTTCACACCATTCTCCTGCCTCAGCCTCCCAAGTAGCCGGGACCACAGGCGCCCGCCACCATGCCTGGCTAATTTTTTATATTTTTAGTAGAGACGGGGTTTCACCGTGTTAGCCAGAATGGTCCCGATCTCCTGACCTCATGATCCACCCGCCTCGGCCTCCCAAAGTGCTGGGATTACAGGCGTGAGCCACCACAACCAGCCTTCTGTCCACATTTTCATAGTTGAGTTATCTCATGGGTTTATTACCTGATACAGAAATAGCTCTTCATTTTCTTAGGTTAACCTGATGTCAGTAAAACTGGCAATGGTCAGTTTGTGGCCTAAAGAAACAACCATAGACAAAAGGCTTTATAAAGTTAAAATAGTGATAACTGGAGTTTGAAGCGCTTTTCTTGATTGTAAATGTCATCATGGAACAAATAATGTAAATCATATCTGATTTTTGAAAAGATTTATAATGTTTATTTAATTGCCATGTTTGCTTTTTATGCAGAAGAACTGGTATACAGGTTGTTCTTGAGAATGCAAAAACTATACAAATGATATTTTAGTCCTCACCATGGCTACTGATTTTGCTATGTTACAAACATATCAATAATATATTTGCAAATCTGCCATCTGAGAATAAATTTGCAAGGCAAAAAGAATTGGTACGTTTATATTGCAATAGGCTAAAAGATCAAACATTAGACATTTATTTAGAAATAGCACATTTATTGTTAACTTTCACTATTAAACTAACCTCAAATAAAACATCTTATATTGGTGTGCATGCAGAAATGACAAAAGGTGAATACAAAGAGGGGAAAAATTATACGACTGAAGCACAGACACAAATCCACAGCAAATAAAATTAATATTGGATATTAAGATGGTAAATATTTAGGCAATAAATCTTGGGATATCAAGGTTATCAGAAGGTCAATTTCCACATTTGTGAAAAAGGTACCAAAAAGAAATCAGCGTAGTTAGTTCTTCTCCCTTACCAAAATTATTTTTATAACGAGGGAATCAGTATATTGTGAGGATTGAACTTTTTTTCATTTTCCAGTGTTCAACCGGTTTTAAGCAATATTAAAGGCATTTAAACTCAAAATATACAAGATATCAACAAAATTTTAACCCTATTGCACAGTGCGTCAGATGAACAACAGAAATAATTGCTGTCAGTTTGTACTTTTTTGACCAATAATTCTCTGTATTTCCTGCAAGAACCTTGAGTGATGCAAATGACCTTATTTTTACAGCATGCTTTTATTAAATAGTTTATTATTTTGGCAGACTAATAAAGATTTTGGTATTTGCTTTTATTTGCAATAATATTACCACCACATAAAAAAGGATTTTATGTTCTTTTTGAGGAACAAGGAGGATAAAAGTGGTGATGGATAGCACAACTGAGGCATCAGCAATGAGCTGGAAATGAGACACATAAATATGAAAGCAGAGCTAAGAAAATAGAACTGCACCCTTGGCCTTTCTTAAAAGAACATGCACACTTCATGGTTCATTCACACCGTTACAGAAACTCCTTTTGTTTCCAATGAATCAGATAATGCACGTAAACTCTGAAATACTATTTTTACTCATAGCCGACTGACTCCTATTTAATTAGATTCATTCTAGGAAAATACCTTCAAGCTTTCTGAAGATGTTTTAATTTGAGGAAAAAAAAATAACAAATTGACTGAAAAGTTGGTGGACATAAGGGCTGAAGGGGACTCAAAACAGATTTACTATTTTCACCATTACTTAGCACAGAACACAGAAAGGAAATCATTCCACAGAGTAGCATCTTTAGGGTCAAATGTGTAATTGTGGAGTATTTAAGGATACTCAAAGTAGGTGGATAGGCAATTGAATGTTTTTAAGGACAAATAATATTCAATATGTAGGTACATATATATAAACATTATATGGAGACTTTGGGAATTATAGCATTATATTTTGCCAGTAATGGCATGTGTTTATTCAAAAATTATGATCATTTACATGTTACATATTTTCGGATCTAATGGCAGTATGTAAATTTTACATATAGAATATTATGCTTATTTTTAGCAGAGTATGTTTAGCATTAATTTTATCTGCTGTTAATAACTTGTTTCTTCATCGTAGCATTTAATTGTTACCACAAATAAAAGCAGATTGTGATGAAAGAACCAAAGGGAAGGTAAGTTTCCTATTCAGGGATAGAACCTCGATTGGCACACAGTAGCTCTTAGCTTAGTAATATTCAGACGTGCAGCTATTTTTCTTTTCACAAGAAAGTGCAGCCGATAGATGAAAGTAGAAAGTAATATATTGTGAGCCGAGAAATCCACTGCTTCATTATCGACATAATTCGGATCTTACAGAGGGAGAGAACTCTACCATTTGGACTCTTGTCGCAAAGGCTTACAATAGACATGATTCTGACAAGAGGTTGGTGGTAGCAGAACAGACTTAACAATTAATGGTATGCCAAGGCTGAGTTCAGAGAATTGCTTTACCCAATGCCAATCATTCATTCCTGGCAGTAGCACTTCACATCTTTCCTGGGATGCCATCCAACCACAGTGGCATCTAAAATATATCAAGCAGTGTTGTTACAGTTGGAGGTGAAATTGAAATTTGCGCCAAACAGAAGTGACAAATTCACATGGCTGAGTGTTGCCTAGCAATCAGGTCCAAGGGGGACGTGGCAATTCTGCCTTTACCCATGAGTATGTTGCAAGGGGGGAGAGAAACATTTACATTAGAGCTTAGGTGGTCCCCCAAATAGAACCAGGTATATGAGATTTCATTTTACTACCAGGGTGTAAGAAGATAAGCTATTAGAGTGGTACAGGGAAAGGAGAAAGTAGCTGAAGTTGGTAGGGTAAGCTTTCAAGGCTGAGGTTCTTAGCAATTAACCTGGGGGAGGGGGAGAGCAGCAAGATGCCAAGATGCCATGATGCCAGACTTGCTGCAGAAATTGATGGCAATTGGCCATCCTGCTGCCTTTTGACTGCAGGCCTCTTGATACACCTCTGTTCAGCTGGCACTTGGCAGCTGGTTGGCCCCAGGGTATAGCAAGCAAATGGTGGCTTTCTCTTCTCAGAAATCCACCTGAGAGCAAAGCTCCCGATGGGCAGTCAAACTCAAGAGATTAGTGCAAGGAATGGAATGTTCAAGCTGAAATTCTTATCTTATGCCTTTATTTGTTGTTTCTTTTTTGGGTTCCGTATTCCATCTGTGTTATATTGGTCTTTTCTTTATCTTGGGGATACCACTCAAACTCCTCCTACCCCATCCTCTAAGGTGTGAAGTGACTATAAAATCAATAATTAACCTATGAGAAAGTGAATGGATATATCAAAATACCAGTCGTGGGGAAGGAGGCACAGTGTTTGCCTTATAAAATTTCTCAGGTCTCAACCTGACAAATTTTGTACAAATAATTTTGTTTCTGGGTTTTTTTCACCACTCCTTATTTGGAAGCATAGACCCAGAAATATCTACGGTAGATTTCCCTGCTTGATGGAGGAACTTATGGAAGTATTACAGCCACCATAGTTCCTTTCCCCCTTTACCCACTTTTGTTGTTGTTATTGTTTGAACTGTTGGGGTCTCATTAACCTCTTGAGTCTAGTCTTCGCAACCCTATATGAAAGAAGAACTCAATCTAGGCTGAGATGGCAGACACTTTATCATTCCCTGCTTTGGTGCTCCTAATTCCAGAGACTCATACTTAATGAATTAAGCCTGAGTGAGTGCCCATCCACAATATTACAAAATTTCAATACCATGTCTATGGTGTTTGAATTTGTACGTAATTTGTTTTCTTCAAGGAGACTCTAAGACCTAATAGCAGGAACTATTTCATCTAAGTAGGATCAGGCAAGATAAAGTTATGGAAATGCAAATGGTGCTACACAATTATAAGACATTTTTGTTATTCCTATTATTGTAGTGTGCTGTTCATTGTGCAATAGATGCTCCAAAAATGCTGGTGAATAAGTGGATGGACTGAATTAATAGATGAATTGGTAAAGACTGATGAATTTATAAAACCACATATAAACAAGAAACTGTATAGATCATAAAGTTGACTAATTATAGCAACTAAAATATATTCACAACTCATATGTTGTCCAATTTTTTATTATTGTGGTAAAAATAAGATCTATTCTCTAAACAGATTATAAGTGTAGAGTACAGAATTGTTACTACAAGTGCAATGTTGTGAAACAGATCTCTAGAACTTTTTTATCTTGTATGACTGACACTGTATACCTGTTGAATAGCAACTCCCCATTTCCCCCTTCTTCCAGCCTCTGGCAATCACCATTCTACTTCCTGTTTTCATGAGTTTAACTACTTTAGATACCTCGTGTAAGCACAATAATGCGGTAGTTGTCCTTCTTTGATTGGCTTATTTCAATTAAGCATAATGTCTTCAGGGTACATTCATGTTATAGCATATGGCAGAATTTCTTTTTATGGCTGAATAATATTTCATTATATGTATATATCACATTTTTTCTATCCATTCATTTCTTAATGGACATTTGGATTATTTCTATTTCTAGGCTATTGTGCATAATGTTGCAGTGAATGTTAGAATGCAAATATATCTTCTAGATAATGATTTAACTACTTTTGGATAAATACCCAGAAGTGGGATTATTGGGTCATATGTGAATTCTATTTTAATTCTTTTTGAGGACGGTTTTTACTGTTTTTCATAGCCATTAACCCATTTTACATTCCCACTCTGAGTGCATAAGGGTTCCAACTTGTCTACATCCTTGTCAACACTTCTCATTTTCTCTCCCTCTCTCTCTTTCTCTCTCTTTTTCTCTCTCTCTCTCTCTGTGTGTGTGTGTGTGTGTGTGTGTGTGTGTGTGTGTGTGTATAATAACCATCCTAACAGGTGTAAGATGATACCTTATTGAGGTTCTGATTTGCATTTTCTTAATGATTAGTGATGCTGAGAATCTTTTCATATACTTGTTGGTCATTTGTGTATCTTCTTTGAAGAAACGTCTTTTCAAATCCTAAGCCCATTTCAAAAATCAGGTTATTGTTATTATTTGCTGGTGTGTTGTAGGTGTTTCTCTTTTATTTTGGATGTTAACTCCTGATCAGATATATGGTTTGCAAATATTGTCTTCCATTCTGTAGTTTCCCTTTTCATTCTGTTTATTGCTTTCTTGTTGTACAGAAAGTTTTTAGTTGGATGTAGTCCCAACTTGTCCATTTTTGCTTTTGTTCCCTGTGTTTTTGGTGTCATATCTGAGAAATCATTGCAAAGACCAATGTTATGTAGCTTTTAAAAATGTCCTTCATGTTTTTTTCTAAGAGTTTTATAATTGTAGGTATTACATTTATGTCTTTCATTCACTTTGAACTAATTTTTGCGTATGTAAGAGTTCAGTTTTATTCTTTAGCCTGTAGACATCTAGTTTTCCCAACTCTACTTATTGAAGAGACTGTTCTTTTTCCACTGTGTAGTCTTGGTGCTCTTATCAAAGGTTATTTGCCTATATATGTGTAGGTTTGTTTCTGGGCTCTTTCTTCTCTTCCATTGGTTTATGTGCCAATCTTTATTCTAGTATCATATTGTTTTGGCTACTGTAATTTTGTTAAATGTTTTGAAATTAGGAAGTGTAGACTTTCCACTTTGTTTTTCTTTCTCAAGATTGTTTTTGCTCTTTGGGGTCCTTTGCGGTTCTATGTGAACTTTAGGATTGTTTTTTCTATTTCTGTAAAAAATGCCATGGGGATTTTAATAGAGATTGCATTGAATCTATACATTATTTTGGGTAATATGGACATTTTAACAATATTAAATCTTCCAATCCATGAACATGGAATGTTTTTCCTTTTATTTGCATCTTCTTTAATTTCTTTCAGTAATGTTTTCTTGTTTTCTGTGTACAAGTTTACTCCTTGGTTAAGTGGATTCCTAAGTATTTTATTCTCTTAAATACTATTGTAACTTGATTGTTTTAATTTCCTTTTTGGATTACTCATTGTTAGTGTATAGAAACACAACTGATTTTTGAATGTTGATTTTGTATCCTGCAACTTTACTGGATTTATTTCTAACAGTAGTTTTTGTGTGGGATATTTAGGACTTTCTACATGTAAGAGCATGTCATCTGTGAACAGAGACATTTTACTTCTTTTCCAATTTGGATGCCTTCCTAAATTTTTTACATACATAATTTATTTAATTCTGACAACAATATGAAGTAGATATTATGATTCTCAATTAAAATGAGGAAATTATTACACAGAAAGTTTAATCAATTTTCCCAAATTATTAGTAAGTGGGAGGAACTGTTTTCTAATTGGACTTTAGAAGTAATCTTCATTCATGACATTAATTAATTACCCGTATTTATGACAATGCAAAATTTGGATCTCTTATTTTTGAGTTCTGTAAGCATGAAAAGCTAAAGAAAAATGAAATTGGTACTGTACATTCTTATGGTAGGCAAAATAATGGCCCTCCCAAAATGACCATATTCTAATCCTGGAACCCCCGAATATTAGGTTACATGACTTTAGGTTACAAACTCATTAAGGTTGCAAATGGAATTAAGATTGCTAATTAGGTGACCTTGAGCTGGGGAGAGCTTATGCTGGATTATGCCAGTGGGTCCAGTGTAATCATAAGGATCCTTAAATGTCGAAATTGGATGCAGACGACTCAGTGTCAAATAAATACAATATGAGAAAGACTTGACTGGACGTTGCTGGTCTTGACAATGGAAACAAACCATGAGCCAAGGAATGTATATAGTCTCTAGATGCTGGAAAAGGCAAGAAAATGGATTATTTCCTGGGTCCTCCAGAAAATAATACAGCCCTGAAAACACCTTAATTTTTAGCGCAGTGAGAATCATTTCCAACTTCTGACCTCCAGAACAGTAGGATAATAAATGCATGTTGTTTGAAGCCATTACCTGTGGTAATTTGTTACAGCAGCAACAGGGAACTAATAGCTTTCAAATTCCAAGGTTACAGAATGAATTTTGATTTCTTGTTAATCCAACTAGAATTTAGAAAAATAATTTTCGAAGAGTTGGAAGTTAAAAGTGTTGGCCTTATTTAGATTCACTATTAATTTCATCTTTATTTGAACTATCACAAGGAAAAATCTGTCTACATATCTTTCTATAATTCCTAAAGACATCTTTTCCCTAAAGCAAGCAATATATATTTTTATTCTATTTTAAACATACTAAGATATTTAAAATTATAAACAGTTACCAAAAATTACCCAGAAAAGAGAGACACCAAGTCCTGTAGTACATCCTTCAAACTTTTCTGCCCTGTTGCTTCACCTTCCTCACTCTGTCTTTGCTCTTGTCCATCTATCTCCACCTATCCTTTGCTTAATTCTCCTCAAACCTGATACTTTTCTGGCTAAAGATCCATATATTTCCATTCCTCTTTTTTTCCTCTTTAATAATTACAATAATAGATGAAATTTATTAAGAACTCACTATTGCCAATATTATAATACATGCTTTATATACATAATATCATTTAATCTTCATAAAACTTTAGGAGGCAAGTACTATTATTATTGCAGCTTTTCAGATAAGAACATTGAGGCATTGAGAAGGTTAGAAACTTGCCCTAAGTCCCTTAGCTCAAAAGTGGAAGAGCTAGGATTTAAATCCAAAGACCAGTCCAATTTATGTTGAGTGATTTTAATTTAATAAAGTGTTGCCTTCTTGTTTAGTGTAAACCTGGGAGAGACTGCTCTCAGGCAGCTCCCAGATTCCCTGGCAGATGAGAAATGCCTACATTATGCCATAAGAAAATATAAAAGTTCTTAAGTGGTCTGCCCTTGGGAGAACCCTAGGTGGTCAAGAAAATAAACAGAATAAATTTGGGGTGGTTCAGTGAGAAATCCAGTCAGGTATTATTGTGCACTCAAAAGGCAAGGCTAGTCATATCAGAAATTAAACTCTGAGCATACTAAGGAAGGATCCATGGCTTATTTATTTTCACATTTTCAGCACTTAGCACCAAGATCAGTGCCTTGTAGGTATTTAATCCGTGATTCTCAGCCCAGGCTTGCTGGACTACCACGGCTGTGATGATAATGTTGGGGAATCCATGAGTTTTACAGTCAACATTCCTAAACTTTAAAGGAAATTATCCATCACAATGATAAGGCTGCATAGACTGTTTAAACAGGTCTCTTGACTGTTGGCTATAATTCTACCAGTTCAGCAAGATTACATACTAGTTCTTCATAATGAATGGAGGTTTTAATTAACAGATGTGTATGTGTAATAAAACAGGAAGCTTAATACTGCTTTAAATGAGTTTGTTTGATAAGCAAAATATTTCCAAAATGGGTGCTATGGAATATAATGAACTATAAAAGCTTTACTTAATGGTAAAAAAAAGTTCAGAACTACAATGCATACTTAAACATTCACTAAAAGTTGAGTGAGTTCAAGTCTGTGTCTCCAAATATCCCCACTTACAACCTAATCCTGTCAACCTATTAATGGGTTATATATATGGTGTGTGTGTGTGTGTGTGTGTGTGTGTGTGTGTGTGTGTGTGTATCAATCTCATAGACTACCACTTAGCCATAATAAAGAATGAAATCATGTCTTTTTAAATAATGTGGATGGAATTGGAGACCATTGTCCTAAGTGAAATAGCAGAAACAGAAAGTCAAATACTTAATGTTCTCACTTATAAGTGAGAGCTAAACAATGGGTACTCATGGACATACAGAGTAGAAAAATGGACACTGGAGACTACAAAATGTAGGAGGGTAGAACTGCGGTGAGGACTGAAAAATTACCTATTGGGGCCAGGTGCGGTGGCTCATGTCTGTAATCCCAGCACTTTGAGAGGCCGAGGCGGGCGCATCACCTGAGGTCAGGAGTTTGAGACCACCCTGGCCAACGTGGTGAAACCCCGTCTTTACTAAAAATACAAAAATTAGCCGGGCATGGTGACGGGTGCCTGTAATCCCAGCTATTCAGGAGGCTGAGGCCGGAGAATCACTTGAACCCAGGAGGTGGAGGTTGCAGTGAGCTGAGATTGCGCCATTGCACTCCAGCCTGGATGACAGTGCAAAACTCTGTCTCCAAAAAAATGAAAAGAAAAATTACCTATTGTATACAATGTTCACTGTTTCAACGATGGTGCGCTAAAAGCCCAGGCTTCACCAGTATGCAATACATGCACGTAAGAATCTGGAGTGTACCTTCTACATATGTGGAAGTTAATTTTTTTAAAAGAGCAATTAGTAAATGATTTCTGAGTCTCCAAAAGACTGTGCCATAAAAAACACAATTTTTTATCTTTGTCTTCAAGGGGAAATGGGACTTAAAAAAGGCTGGCACTGGGGTGTTTTGCCTAAGCATATGAAAACATAGTGACATAAAATAAATTCCAGTTTCATCCAACAATGCAGTAGATAACATAAAAAAAATTTAACCATGTACAGGAAATGATGGAAAGTTTGCGGGAGGGAGCTATCATTATGGCCTGGAATCAAGCCAGTGTGCCAGTCTGGAGGGGCATCCGTCTAACTCACCCTGGGTTCCTAGACATGTACCACACTGGGTTACTCTTACTAAAATACAGTTTTTCCACTCTCTCTTCTCCTAATGAATAAATGAGGGCAGGGGAAGTTGAAGGGATCCCTTTTTCTTCTCCTGTCGGCTCTAAGATCCTCAACCTAGCTGGCAAATTCTTTGTAATAATCTCCTACCATTTTGTTTCCCATCCTGTCCCAAACATCACCTGTCTCTTTGAGTAGCCTCCTCGCTCTTTTGTAAAAATATCCCCCGCAGTTCGCCGCTGTGCCTTGCTTGGGATGCCTCTGTCTCTTGTCTGACAGCTCCTGCCCAGGAGGTCTCTGCCTTCCCTATATGAACTTTGGCAGTGCATTGAGTGTACCCCACATTTTAGCACTTATTTATTCAACCATTTAACAAATATTTGTGGAGAGCCTGGTCTGTGCCAAGCATGGATCTATATGCACTAAATTATATCCTTTCTTATATTATTTATTAATTGTTTTACGTGGCCTATGTGGTAGATAAAAGCGTTGGATATAGAGTCTGGAAACTGAGGTTATAATCTCAATCCTGTTACTTTGTTAATTGTATAATTTTGGGGAAAATCCCTTTAGTAAGCCACAGCTTCCACATATTTCGATGAGTTTTTGAGTGGACTGTACAAGATAATGTGTATCTATATTTTCCCAAAAGATGAATATGCTAATGAAATGTAAGAATATAATTACTATGTAACCCATATGCCCCTCAGGAGTATTTGTGCCCCAAACTCTGTGCTCTCATATATAGATATAGATATAGATATGAGATAATAATAGATTGAGGTACAATAAACATATCAGGTACCAAAAATTACTAAAAAGGAATTCCAAACTTTATGTCTATTTATGAAGAACACTAAAGATATGAAATTTTTAACCCATAGCCACACTTCACTAAAGGTCTTTTCTTTCTCCCTGATGGTCTTACACCTCAAAGCTGAATTGGAGCTCTCACCACCAACTCTCTCCAAAAAACTTTTCTGAAAATCTCAGTTCTCCCTACTTTCTGTGCTTTGTGTCCAACCCACTTCTCTCCGCTGACCAAGCCTGTCTTTTTCTCCCTGTTTTCTCAATTCTGTATCACACGCTTGGGAACTGGGCTGGCAAAGACAGAGGTTTCCATAGAAAATGGAGAGGCAAAAAGGTGGATATATCCCACCTGTTAATATTTATCTGGCTATCTTTAACAATATTTTTCTTTATTTCATGTGGATAGGACCATGTTTTACACTTTTTCTGTTTTCCCTGTAGCACTAATCAGGGTGCTGGGTCTATGGAAGCCACTCAATAAATGCTTGTTAGTTGAATTATAAAACATAAAAATTAAGTTGGAGAAAGTCCCATTAAATGGGCACTCTACCACTTCCTAGAAGTATGAGCTTAAGTTAGTTACATATTGAATTTTATTTTCTTGATCTGTATAATGGGCCTGCTAACTCTCACAGCATAATGTTGTAATTAGCATTAACTGAAATAACACATGAATGTATCTGATACCTATTAAACACCAAATGTTGACTACAAACTTGAAAGGCTATCTTATGGCTATAAACAGATGGAGGCTGACACCTGTAGTTAAGGGAAGTTGTTTGGTATTTAGAAATTGGGTTCCAGTGGGCCTTGATTTTCTTATCTACAAAATGAGAGCATCTACCCAGTGGATTTGGAAGGTCACTGAAATTCTAATGATCTCTATTTCTGAGAAGCAAGATACTGGTGCATCATTCTAATCAAATATTTTCTAGTCCTGAAAACTCTAATACAATTTTGCAAAGAATAATGGGAAACTCACCAGTAACTGAAAAAAGTCTCTCTGCTCATTCGGAATATGCTTTTAATGTGTATCAGTTGGTGCTAACCAGTGAAGATATTTCCACTGGGCTGGCAAAAACAAGAAAGACAAAGTATTGGGAATTGTATTAAGTCAAATTTATTCAATTTAATAAGATACTGCATTTTATTCAGTGATTCTTCCTACTACTTCATTGTCAAATTGTCTTTTCATGATACTAAAGTGATAAAATGTAGTGATTATGTATTAAAATTATCATGTGAGAAAATGAAAAGAGGGAATATAAAAAGTTGGCAACTCTGTCAATTTCCTAATTTTTTACATTGTTGATTAATATTCAGGTTCATAAAATTTGAAAGTTTAGAAATCACTGATTTATAGCATAACAATATTGAGACTAAACTTTCTGAAGAGGAATATCTGATTTTTTTGTTGAAAAATACCAAGTCTTAGAGTTTAACTGGTTTTTCTCAGGATCAAAGCCTTAAAAATTTTTTTTAAAAATCCTTTTTCTCCCTCTAAGGAGAAAAAAAGATGTGAAACAAAAGAAGGGCAAGAGTCAGATTTTTTTTCCCTGCTCCTGTGGGATCCTGCTGACTAAAATATTTACAAGTGTGGAAATGGCACAGAGGAAGCCCACCACTTAATGCTGGAGAAGGAAGGTTGGAATGGGCTTGCAGCATTCTAAGCCGCAGTGAGCTGGCTTAGAAGCCTTCTCTGCCCTGACCTAGCTCCAGGCATATAGCTACCAGGCCTGTTTGGGATAAATGATACAAAGAGGATAAAACATCAACAACAGTTTTAATTTTAGAGCTGCTACTTGAATTGCCAAGCCCTCAGCAGAATAACATAGCCAGATTTGGAGGAAACAAAATTTTAACAGATATATTAGAAAAACTGAGGGTGAATAACCCAATAAAATGTAAAAGTCCATGCATAGGGCAGATTTTAATTCCACAGTAAAGGCTTGGTTTTGATAACCTTTTGACTAACTTTTGAAGACATTTATATTGTCAATTAATATACAAACTTTATAATGACTGGAGGCATTTTGTGATTTAAGAACTCAATCATGATTATTATGTATTACGTGTCTATATCAAAACAGCTCATGTGCCCTATAAATACACCTACTATGTACCCACAAAAATTAAAATAAAAAAATTTTAAAAAAGAACTCAGTCATGAAATTGCAAATTTAGAAATCATTTGTTAAGTGTTAAAAACTGCTATGGTTGTTACCATTTGTCTTATTTATCAACAATATTTTATGTATTCTTATAATTTGCTCTCTGGGAAATCTAATGTGAAAAATAATCTTTATTCATATATGTGAACCTTGAGTGTTATGGTGAGTTATCTTAGACCTATTGTTCAGACATATCAACACAGAAAGTAAAGGGAAACAAAGAGGACCTAGGCACCGACTCTTCGACCTCAAGGTATTAATCTGCTATCAGAACAAGGGTATATACTTAGAAATTTGGTTTGCTGAATCTATATCAGACCCCATCGGTAGTCTAGATACTTACTTCATCTAGGCATAGATTCATATATGAGGGAACATGCAAAACCAACTCATGTCATCTAAGGACAGGGATGGTTGCAATACTAGCCTCAACAATAGCAATGATAATATAATAAAATGCATATCCCCTAGAGAAACATTCTCCAACACGAGGCATTATCTGATCCTCAGTTAGGATTTGATATTTTTCTGCTCAGGAAAAATATCCCACCCACCCTTTTACCTCTTCTTCTGAGTTGAGAATTATTAACTGCTTATGTTGTGATTCTAGTTATTAATAATTCAATTTAATGAGTTTATTTGTTAGAGAAGATAGGAACAAGTCTCACCTTTTTCCCATTTTTCTGCATCATTTGTGACTGGATAAACTACATCGAAGTGATTAAGAGTTACATTAGAACACCATGGATGTGGCCAGGTGCTGTGGCACACACCTGTAATTCCAGCACTTTAAGAGGCCATGACAGGCAGATCACCTTAGGTCAGGAGTTCGAGACCAGCCTGGCTAACATGGTGAAACCCCATCTCTACTAAAAATACAAAAATTAGCCAGATGTGGTGGTGGGCGCTTGTAATCCTAGCTACTCGGGAGGCTGAGACAGGAGAATCGCTTGAACCTGGGAGGAGGAGGTTGCAGTGAGCTGAGTTTGCATCATTGCACTGCAGCCTGGGTGACAAGAGTGAAACTCTGTATCAAAAACAAAACAAAACAAAAAAACCATGGCTGCATCCACCAGTCTTCTTCAGGTTTATCTGGAGAGTGTGTGTGTGTCTGTGTGTGTTTATGTGTTTGGTAGTATTAAAAGGAAAGATAACAAGTATAATCATGTATATTTTGACCAAACACTTGTCATGAAGCAAAAGGTAGTATTTTTCTCTTTTAAGCCAATTAAAGACTATACATTTAATGAAGTTGTTGTAAGTGTAATTGAATTAAAAATGTTTTAACTGCTTTCTTTAACTATTTTTATATTTTTATTTTGAAAAGTATTTTTAGACCTTCATCTATCCTCATATGCCTGTAATTTTTAAAGATAACTCATCAGTAAAAGTGGATCTCCAGGTGTGCATGTGTGAAGGTGGGAAAAGTGGCACACACACCCCTAACATCTCTCCTGCCTTTAGAGTTACTACAAAGTCCTTTAAAGGACACAATATTATGTTTTAATCATATTATCAACATAATTAAAAAGACATTTTTTCAAGGTTGTTTTGATATTAAAGCATTACCGTCTAAATGATATTTATGACCTAATGTTACCTCAAGAATAGGACAGGCATAGTTTTCAAGTGTGGCTTCCTGGTCAAGTCATGCAGGGTAGAGTTTTTACTTCTAGACGTTCAGAGGAGGAGTTTTAGAGAAGGAACATTTTATTTCTAAATTAATTTCCTTTAGAAACAATATGTACTCTTCTGGTAAAGTAGAGGCATATATAGACTACATTAATCTTCAGAATATAGACCATCCTAAGAACAAACTATAAAATATATATATACACATATATACACACACACACACAAACACATATATACATATATATTTAGGTGTGCATGTATGTGTGTGTACATGCATGTTTAATAGTCTAATGAGAAAGAGCCCATAGGTCTATATTCAAATGTAAGTGCACATATTCATATTTGATGCTCAAGTACAATTCTGACACCATCTATGCTTTGTATTGGAGTAGGACAAGCTAGTGTCACCAAACAAGAAAATTAATTCACTCAATCCTTAGTATGCTCATGGAAACCATACAATTTATTATAAGCATATTGCCAATACAAAGACAAACAAACAGCATGTGTATCCTATTAGATCTAAATCATAGCAGGGAGCCGAGCTGGTAGAAAAATATAGTGCCTCCAGCCTTATGCATTGTGAGTTGTATTCATAAATGACTTACTGTATACTTGGGTTCCACTCCAGTTTCTTACAATTTACACAGGATTATTGTATTATATGTTGTGCCCCTTCCCAAATTGACTATTTCCATAAGAGGCCCATCCATTATGGACCCAGGGGAACACTCAGGACCAGTCCAAGAATGCTGTGTCCATAGGGGAAAAAGCAAGTTAAAATCAGTCTCTACCTAAATTCACAAAGAATGCTCGTCCCTAAACGTTAGACACTCCTAAAATCCCACCAAGAAGAGTCAAAAAGTATGTGACTGGCAGTTTGGAATAGATGATTTAAGCTGTCATGAAGCTGGGGAGCTTAGATGGTTACATCTTTTGCAAGCTTGTCGCTTCTTAGAATACTTCCCACAGTGTCTAATACACAAACATGCCTTTTATTGAGCATCAGGAAGGGCTGTCTTCTATCCATCACTTGACTTTATTCAGATAAATAAAAGAATGCAAAGGGAAACAGTAAAACTGTAGATGTCTAAAAACTTCATTACTCAGATAAGATTTTTTTTTAATTGGGTATTGCAGCATTCATTCATGGACCTCCTGCTTTTAAATTTCAATGCACCTTTAGTGATATTTTTCACTTTAGAAATTCTATTCTTCAATCTATGTAGAACAGATGCTTTATATTCCATATGGTAACAGGCTAAACAGTTGAAAAGAAATATTCAGTCAACATCACCACAATCAATGGGCATATTTCTTAGAATACAAGATTTTTTTGAAAGTTAGAGATAAGCTCTAATAATGGAAGAATTCTATATATTTTGTGGCTGGAATGTAGTAGGCACTGAATAAATATCTGTTAAATGGGAGATAGAAATCAATGTTTCGTGGCATGTCAGAGAGAGAACACAGGTCTGAACAGGTGATGAGTTTATCACAGTAGAGTTTATTTCTTTATGTGTGTATGCTCAGAAATTCACAGGATAAGACTTGAAGCAAATTTTAATAAATTCCATCCTAATATCTGTTTTTATGTGATATTTGTGTAGGGTCAGAACAGGATCAAAGGGAACCTGTTAGGGTTGCTTTTGGCTGCAACTAACAGAAAACTGCCCCAGTGACCCTAACAGGTAGGGCTTTGGTTCCTGTAGCAAGAAGTTTGGGAGTAGGTTGTACAGACTAGGTGTGGCAGCTCAATCATGCCACCAGGAACCTAAATTCTTCCATGTTTCTGTTCTGCCAGACGTAGTTTGTAGGCTTTTGCCCTCAATCTTGGCATCTTGTGATTGCAAGAAAGATGCTTGCCCGCCATGTCTTATGCTAATATTTTAGCAAACAAAAATGAAAGATAAAGGAGTGAAGAGGGAGGCGGGAATGGATGGTGACTATATCAGGAAAGCAACAGCTTTCTCATCAATCCCAGCAGATGTCTGCTTACATTTCTTAGAGCAGGACTGTGCCACCTGATTAGGATGCAAGGGAGTCTGGGAAAACAAGTATTTTTAGCTGGACAGATTGCTGCCTCTCCAAAAAGTCAGGGTCCTATTGAAAAACAAAAGTTAGGAAAGATATTGGATAGGCAACTAGCTGTGTTTGCTCTAGGACTGAAGAGAGGAAATTAGTTTAATTACCAGGACATAAAATCTGAGCAGGGCTCTTTCGATTTCACCCTTCTGAAATATAAATTCAGAATCAGAGTAGTTCTATGGGGTAACAATATAAATGGACATTTTTGTCATGGTTGAGTTAATTCAGACCTTGCAGTTTTCACAATTTGACAAATAGGTGAAGATTCCTTGATAGATTCTCATCTTGCATTTTTGGCTTAGGGGAAAAAAAAGTTATTGCCTTCATACTGCCCTGAACTTAGTATCTTCTATTCTCTGGATAAATTTTTAATTTATTTCTCTTTTGAAGAGCATTTTCTATAAATAGTTCCCTGAGAAGTATCACAATGAAATTTGTATCAAAATGTGAATGGTTGACAATATTTTTCTATGTTGTCCTATTTGGGGACTATTTACAGTTTAATGGGATAATTGCCAAAAAGTCAATCTCTGCTTTCAGCAGTTACTGAAAGAGTGATTAAAAGAGATATTTTTGAGTCGAGGACTCTTAACCTCAGTTATTTAGTCACTCATGTGCACAGCTCTCTTTCTTATCTAAGTGTAGGACCTTGTTTTTGTTTACCAAGAGTGGCATAAAAGTAATAATAATTTTTCCTTAATACTTGACAATGTGCTGATGGAACAATAACTGTTTTAGCAGATGAGCTATATGAATTATGTGATTCCGTGGTTTTATGTTCATAGAAATATAAGTCAATAATGGTCAGGATTTGGAGATGTTCAAATCTTCAATAAGTTTCTGGCTGTTTCTTGAATTCATTGGTTCTTCATTTTGACAAACCTTTTATTAATATAATGTAAGGAGATATTTGGCAGAAAGGTATAATTTAAACTGATCTGTTATAAATTTAAGAAACTAGCAAAGGAGGATGAAATAAGTTGTTTCTGAATGAAACAATGGAGACCTGTTGTCAGGTGTTCGTGAGTGTTGTATGTACACCCAGAAAGTCTTTATAATCTTTAAAACAATTTGTCTTCACCTGCAAACCACACAGCCTTATCATGTATTTACTGCTCACCACCCTACTTTCTCCTATAATTTTGCTTCTCTGCCTGCAGGCTTAACATTCTTGGCAAAACAGAAAGCTTATGGGAAATATTCATTGACTTCTTCTTGTAGCAATGTTATTTCTGCATAGTAGTCAGGCTAAGGATGCCAGAACAACTTCCTTGATTTTACCAGAAGGGCTCTAAGGGACCCTTATACCTCAATATATGAGCAGAAACTCTCATTCTAATATTTCACAGAAATGCATAGAATACTCCCTTTACTTGTGTTGTTGGAAGATATTACTTTTACAGAATTAGAGCCTAGGCTCTAGGCATATCTAGACAGGAGGTATCTGAAGGAGCATTGTCTCTATTGTTACTTGGTCTAGAACACTCACTTGTCCCCATCCTATTATCTTCCATGCAAGTCCCATTCTAAGGCTGTGTGAAGCCTTTCTCGCTATTGAACTGCATAACAGTCCCAGACTTTCTGCCCTGGGATGGGAGTGGGGAAAGAGGATGTATTGGATGAATGTAAATAGGTCTTTTTCAATAATTGTCAAGGGACAAGGAATGTCAGAGAAGGATTTATTTGCCCACACATGGAGCACGTTGTCCCTGACTGTCCAAAATAATCCTCTTAGTCCCAGAGAATCCTATCCCTCAGGAATGCCACAGGAATATCCCCAATTAGCAGAATGTAATTACTTGAGTGGGAATCATGTACTAAATGATGAACCTCTCCTCCCAAATGGCATGAGCCTTTGAATAATTTAGGAGGCGAGAACAATTAAATACAAGAGGACCATCCTGACAGTAAGGAGATGTTTGTGCTGCACTCATGAACATACATGCTATAAGGAAGGCTAGAACTAGAGAAGTGTAACTAGCTTTAAAGTGGAATAGAGTTAATATTTGCAATCTATATAAAGCTCATTTAAATACACAGAATGACCTGAAAATCTTAGATAGACAAATGAACAAAGGATATGAAAAGGCAACTTATCCAGGAGAAAATAAAACCAGTAGACAAGGAAAATATTCACTCTTATAAGGAATCCAAGATGTTCAGATTTAAACAACAACAAGGGCCCATTTCATGTCTTTTAAAGTAAACAAAACTTTAAACAATGATAGTGTGATACAATGATACTGATGAGATTGTGGGGAAGCCATTATCTATTGCTGGCTGCATTGTAAAACTTTTGGAAATAAATTTGATAATTATATTATAGCAAAACCCTTGAGAAATGTTTTCAACCAGTAATCCTAAGAAATAACTCAATAAAATAATAAAAACCACATGAACTGAGAATAATTGTTGTATTATCTATAGCTGCAAAGTTTAGAAACAAATATTTAAAAATAGGATAATAGTTACAAATTATGAATTATAAAACAATGAAATGTAATTTGTCTTTTACAATGGATGGTCATAATATGCTAGCTAGAATATGATACAGAAAATATGACAAAATTTAAATTACGGTATGGATATAACTATGTAAAATATATAACTATACATATGTGCAAACCCTAAAAAGAAATTTATGAAAATGATATCAATGTGTTAGTGTGGTATGATTTTCAGGGAGTTATTTCATTCTAAAATGTATTTTAATATGATAAAATGTTTAAAGATCTGTAATGAGTTCACTGAGGAGCCTTAACTTGTTGAGGGATAAACATGGAATAGATTTATTTTTCTGATAACTTTGTGCAATGCTGACCTCTCTGATTTTTGCTGAGGTGCTACCTTCAATTCCATGACTTTCCAATCACTTGTCAGAACAGTCTCTCTGGTTTTTTAAACTCAGTGTTGTGTGTTTTGCAGATTTCATTTTACATTCAATTCAAAACCTTCCCCTTTCCCTCTATATTCAGTTATATTTATGGCTCATTTTCCTTCCCTCTTTCCTGCACTTCTCTGGTGGACATAGCTTCCTTTCTTACCTGTTTCCCTTCAAGAGGCTGTTCTCTATTTATGCTTACTGGCCATCATTCTTCTCTGCTTTCTTGGAGGGCCTGGTAATGCCCTCTCCATAATCTCCTGGAATGAGAGCTTCAGGTTGGTGTTAATCTTTTTCCCTCTCACAGCCACATACTGTATAGTTTCTTACTGGTGGGGTCCCCTTGGTTTGTACAACAGGCTTAGAGAGTTGATACTGGCAAGAGAGGTCAAGCCCAGCCATTTAACTCATGGTCTACATAGAAAATCATGGATCATGGTCCATATTTAACAGTGAATTACAGGCTGTCTCACTGCCTTTTCTCATACACCACATTCCTCTTGCCCTTTCTTCACACTCAGCATCAGCTGAGTAGCCTGGAAAGTAGCCTGGAAACTTTTAAATAAATTATCAGCAGTTGACAACTTAGCGGCAGGCAGGACTATTCCAGCAATCATTGAGAATAATTCTACTGGGCCCTTCCTCTACTTTGGCAAGAAGAAGTATGCCATCAGCCCTACTCCATGGGAAAGCAATTGCCTTCATTTTCAACTTTCCCATATCAAGTCTTTCTTTTGTATTGATTAAGGTGGTTGTGTTGGTGGTCTTTATGGTTACATTAGAAGAGTGTCTCTCTGTAAGTCCTAGAAGGAATATACTGGCTCTAATTACTGGTGTCTCTTTGAACTTAGAACATCAAGTATTTAGATGCCAGTTCTAGTTCTCACCTTACCATGTAAAAACAGAATTATCATTAAAAGATAGTTTAAGTGTGTTTAGTTTATAGGACCAGGGGAATAAACAAGGTGCACTCTTACTACAAAATATACTAAACATCATCAATATTTGTTGTCTGGTTGATTAAGTGTTTTTTGAAAAATACCCCAAAACAATAACTGAAAATTGTAGAAAGCATCTTAACCTAGTCACACATATGATTTATTTTCAGAGTTACCGTCATTAAGTCCATCTGCTGAAAATCCTCCCTCTCTCCAAAACAACTGCCTTGCATATATCCTCTTCTACTTGGGCTAAAATTGTCACTATTATGGGTTGGGGAGGGAGGTTGGAAGAGAAGAGGAAGAGAACAAGAATAATGGAGTAGTTGGGAAGACAGGGCATCCAAAAAAAAACTTTACTTACTTCACATTTTACCAGGGCCCAGCAATATTGCTCACATGATAATCAGTAGGAATTTTGTTTCCTTTTCAAATTGATTAATGAGTACTTATTAACTCACAGGCAATTAAAGGGCCAGTGGGCACAAATTCTCCGTATTTTCAGTAAATGCCGTTATTGCCTAACACTAAATAATATAGAGACTACTATTTTTAATCTTTACCACTAATTAGAAGACAATGGCACAACTTCAAATCAATCAATTCTTCACAGCTAAAAATGGAAGTACTTGTTAGAGTAAAAGCCGATGAAGGAGAGAGAGAGTGCCAGAAAGAGAGAGAGAGATTTTCTTTTGTTGTTCCTGTTTATGAACTTCTAAAAGTTAGAAATATTTCACCTAAATCTTTTTATTTTAACTCAAAATGTTATTCTATTGGGGTTATTTATCTAGATTCCAACAAACACTGTCAATTTTTTCTTATGGATTTTGTTTGAGACGTACATCACAGGTAGATATGTTTTTAAGTCGATCAATTTGACATATTAGCTTAAAATACAGCCTGTCCCTTAAGACTCAATGTCTTTGAAAATAGGAAGCTTGAGGTTGAAATCACTTAAGGCTGAGTTAGAAAAATGGCCTATATTAAAGTCAGTAAGCTTGTTTTTCTTTTGATCATGTGTAAACAGAAAATCATGTCTCACAGGTGAAATTGTGTATTATCAACCTGCCTTTCCATTGTTCTTACATTCTGAAATGAAAGCCACTAATGATGATTCTTTATTTAGAGCTATGTGTTCGTTTTACTAGACTGTCTTTAAAATAATATATAATTGGATTCAGTAGATTCAGTAAAACATGAAAAAATACATGCTAGACAAATCTATAGTAGCTGCAGAAATCTATAGCAAATACAAAAATCTAGAGTAAATTGACACTGGAAGGACAAGAGCTAAAGGGTCTGTTGACTGTAAATTTTGATATGTGCACAATGCCTACCTCCAGAAATAATAGCCAAACAGCATAATGAAACATAAGCTTCAAATGGGCCAAGTGAACAAGCATTTGACTTTTCTTGAAAATGATATAGGCTCAGTTATCTGTTTAATCACCATTAATTTTGCATTTAACTGCCAACTGCCTTGTTTTCTATTTAAGTTTAAACATACATAAAGCTTTTCTTTTCCATTATATTTCTTTTCAATTTCTACAGTGATCATTTTGCATCACAAAAGGAATTTAAAGAGTAATGCAAGGTACGCCTCCTAAGCCACAAGGTCAGTCTCTTCTGGTGGTGTTCTGTTTATTTGTGTCTTACCTTGAATTCCATGTCGTCTTGGACACTTTTCTCCTTCTGTAAACTTATGATGTCTCATTACAACTTTGCTGAACTTGTGGCACTTAGACATGACTTCTTTCCTAGCTTTAGTTCAATTGTTCACCCCATGACTTGGAGTAACAAGTAACAAATTAGTAGCTTATTTAATAGGGATAAAGACTGATAGTCTCACTCATGCTCTTTTTACTGGGAGTCAGTAGGCAGGAAGCTAAAATTAGCTCAGTTTTGTCAAATTGATTTGAGTTCATCCATGGTAAAATGAAATCTAATATTTTCCTTCCTCCTACATGGTTAGAAATTTTGGTTCTCAGCAGGTGTTGAATTTAAATAGTAAGAACAAATGGAAGCCACAGCTATGGCTCTGAGAACAATTATATAGGTCCTTGAAAATCCATTTCCAATCTATATTAAAAAAGAAATGTTATTTTGCAGCAATGAGGAATTAAAGTCTGCTGAAATTATTTTTTTTTCTGCTTCAAGAAATCAGTCCAGAAATCCCAAACTTTTGTAAGTCATGGTCTTCTTTGAAACCACATTTCCCTTATGTTTCACATTGTCATTGCATGAATTCTGTTACTTTGATGTCCTCAATAATTTATTACTTTTTGCATTTTTCTTATGACACAGACCACAGAGCTATAAGAAACTGACCATTGCATTTCACGTGACTTGGGCTTAAAATATGATAAAGGAAAAGAGTAAAAGTTGTCATGGTATCTTATATTAAAAAAGGTATTCTATGTAACAAAGCTTATTAAATTCAATGAGCTTCTCTGTAAAATAATGACCTTTTTATCAAATTTTATATAATGAATATTTTTCTGCAATGAAATTCTACTTGTTTCTCTCTTATAATCACTATCACTAAGCAACAGACTTATTTGCTGCTTGCAATAATGAGATACAGATGAATTCATTATAATTGTTTCATCCCACCATCCAACAACAGTTACAAATAAACTCTCCTAAAGTTTTTGCTCTTTAATTACCAAAAAAAGTTCAGCCAGAAAAAAGACTCAAATACCTAAAGTTTGATTTCACTGACCCCGAACAATTACAGTAACTAAAACTAAAAATGGCAGATACTACGCAACATCTTCCACTTTTCCTGGCAGAAAACCTTCTTTTCCTCACAAGCTAATTCAAAGTATGAATCCTATAAGATTCTTTTCATCTTTACCACTTGCTGATGGCAAACTGAATTTTAAGTAAGACTCCCTTATGAAGCAATTGTGATGCCTCATGCAGTTTGTTATACTTTTGAACTATAGCAACCTGGTAACATAGGTGAAAGCCCATAATGATTGTGAGCATGTGTGTGTGTGTGTGCGATTTTATGATGCATGGGTTTTTATTGTTCCTATCTTTGTGTCACTGTGTACCCAAAGATACTGTCACTGTTCTTCTCCCCACCAGAAGTCAGAAGCATAACACCTCTTTGTAATCTTAAAAACAGTCATACTTTCTATAAATATTCAAAATACAATCGCTTACCTGGATTAATAGAAAATATTTTAAAAGACTCCAAAATTGGAAACTAGGTCAGTCCCTATTCTCTTTCAAATTTTGGAAAATAAATGAGATTGGAAAAACACCAAGGCACACAGAAAAATTCATATTCTATCAAGGTCAAGCACAACCACCTACTTGGAGCTCAGCATGATGCTATCACTCCTGAGCCTTTTCCCCTACTTCTAATATTTTCCTTTTTTTTGAGATGGAGTCTAGATCTGTCACCCAGGCTACAGTGCAGTGGCATGATCTCAGCTGACTGCAACCTCTGCCTCCCGGGTTCAAGCAATTCTTGTGCCTCAGCCTCCTGAGTAGCTGGAATTACAGGCATGTGCCACCATGCTGACTAATTTTTGTATTTTTAGTAGAGATGGGGTTTCCTCTTGTTGGCCAAGCTCGTGTCGAACTCCTGGCCTCAAGTGATCTGCTTACCTCAGCTTCCCAAAGTGCTGGGATTACAGGTCTGAGCCCCTGTGGCTGGCACCATCTTCTAATATTTTCTAATACTGAAATCCTAAGCAATGGAAAGCAACATGATAGGGGACTTCACATTCTTTAAGGACCCTTGATCGTTCTGTCTCATTTGTTATGGATTTCAAATTTTTATTTTGCCTGTTGAACATCAATTATTAGTTATCATTAGTTTTCTATGGCCAATAGTTATTTTTCTTTACTAGAATTTTATGGGCTTTTGTTCTCACACATTTTGTGGCACATATATTCCTTTGGGTTCACTTTCCTCTTTGATAAAGTACATCCTTTAATTTTACGGGGAGGGTCTGTGTGTGGTAAACTCTAAGTCTTGGTAGATCCAATAATATGCAGATTTTGCCTCATTCTGAAGTAATAGTTTAAGCAGATATAAAATTCTAAGTTGACATCTTTTTTCCTCAGTGCTTTCAAGATATTGTTGTATTGTTTTCTGGATTTTATTGCTTTAGATGTGAAATCTTTGTGAATCTATTTTTATTCCTTTGCAGTTAAAATATTTTCCAAGGTAGGTTTTAAGATGGCTTGTTAAAAATCCTCGGTATTTTGCAGTTTAGCATGAGTTTTGGTGAGGACTTATTTTTATTATCCAGTAATTAGGAATGCATTCTCTATTTCATGTCTTTCTTCCATTTAAAAAAATTATTAACAATGATCTCTTCAAATAATGCTTCTCATCCATTTCCTCTGTTTTATTCTTCTCAGAGTTTTATTAGAAGAATGTGTAAATTCCTCATTTTGTCTTACATTTCAAAATTGCTCGTCCTATTTTAAAAGCCTCATTGTCTCTGGCTTATTGGGTGCATTTTTTTTTCTTACTCCTTTTCCTACTGTCCAGTAATTCTGTTTTCAATTACGTCTAATTTAGTTTCATCTACCCATTGCATTTTTTATTTCAATAGCTATATTTCTAATTGATCCATTTTGATATAAATTTTTATTTCTTCTGTTTTTTAATTTCCAAGTAGAAGTTATTAATTCAGTTATGTCTATGAAGATGCAAAATACACTTATTTTAAAGTCTGGCAATCTTTTCTGTGAGATTAATTTCATACAAAGCAATTCATGTTCTAATTTTTTTTTTTTTTTTTTTTTTTTTGTGACGGAGTTTCGCTCTGTCGCCCAGGCTGGAGTGCAGTGGTGCCATCTCGGCTCACTGCAAGCTCCGCCTCCTGGGTTCCCACCATTCTCCTGCCTCAGCCTCCCAAGTAGCTGGGACTACAGGCGCCTGCCACCACGCCCGGCTAATTTTTTTTTTTTTTTTGTATTTTTAGTAGAGACGGGGTTTCACCATGTTAGCCAGGATGGTCTAATTGTTGTTTATGATTTCTTTCTTATTGGTACATTACTTCTTATGTTTTGAAACATTGGTTTGCAGCTTATTTTGCACAAGAAGGTGGTTGTTTTCTCTCTCACTCTGGACTTATTCACTTCTCTAGAAAATTTGAAGACTCATCCACCGGGATCCTGCTTAGCAAATATTCATGTACTTTCTTATGTTTTCCACTCTTGTATTTATTTTAGGATTATGTGACTAGTTCTAGCTAAAAGGCTATGAGTGGAAGTAACATGTATCACTCTGAGTCCAAAAAACAGTTAAGTGTTTATGTGAGATAGTCATGTTTTCTTTTCTTTTTAAATATTGTTTATTCATTTATTTTAGAATAAGGGGGTACATGTGCAGGTTTGTTAGATGAATATATTGCATGATGCGGAGGTTTGGGATTTTCTTGATCATGTAGCCCAAGTAGTGAACATAGAACCCAATGGGTAGTTTTTTCAATATTCCCCTCCCCCTCCCTTTCAGAATTCCCAGTTTTTATTTCTCCTATCTTTGTATCCCTGTGTACCTAATGTTTAGCTCCTGCTTTTAAGTGAGAACATGTAGTATTTTGTTTTTCGTTTCCACATTAATTCACTTAGGATAATGGCCTCTAGCTGCATTCATGCTGCTGCAAAGGACATGATTTTGTTATTTTTATAGCTGCATAGTATTTTATGGTGTATACATACTACATTTTCTTTGTCGAGTCCACTGTTGATGGCCACCAGAGTTGATTCCATATCTTTGTTATTGTGAATAGTGCTGTGATAAACATACATGTGCTGGTTTCTTTTTGGTGGAATGATTTCTTTCCTTTTGAATATATATCTAGTAATGAGATTGTTGGGTGGAATGGTAATTCCATTTTTAGTTCTTTGAGAAATCTCCAAACTGTTTTCCACAGAGGCTAAACTAATTTGCATTCCTACCAACCTTTTTTTCTGCAACCTCGCCAACATCTATTTTTTTGACTTCTGAATAATAGCCATTCTAACTGGTGTGAGATGATATAAGATAGCCATGTTTTCTATCTCATCAATGAACATAAAGAACACTGCCTTAACTGATGACATTATCGTGTGAAATTCCTTCTCCTGGCTCATCCTGGCTCAAAAGATCCCCTACTGAGTACCTTGTGACCCCCACTCCTGCCCGCCAGAGAACAACCCCCTTTGACTATAATTTTCCTTTACCTACCCAAATCTTATAAAACGGCCCCACCCCTATCTCCCTTCGCTGAATCTCAGCCCGCCTGCACCTAGGTGAAATAAACAGCCTTGTTGCTCAAAAAAAAAAAAGGAGCACTGAATTGGCAGAGGTACTATATCAAATCATCTCAGACTCCCAAGTCACTGCTGGATGACAGTTGCCAAGGAGAATCATCTGACCTGCATTAGAGTGTGCTGTGAATGTCGAATAAAACTTTGTTGTGTAAATCTGTTGATATTTTGGGTTGATTTGGTACTGTCACTTGCCCTAACTAGTATACTACCTGCCACCTCATCTAATGGGAGTGTATCAGGGTAAGTGGCAGTACCAACTTATATAACTAAGTATCATATTATAACTTGGTTCACCATCCCCATGCGGAACTGAGTTATAAAATGATGATTCAAAGTTATACCTTAATGATATTTGGGATACTGAAGATTCATTCACTAAGCCAAAAGGCAAGTTTTTCAGTTACTATAAGGCTGATGTCATCCCAATTCCCTGGGCCTAATGCCTTTTTAAATTCCAAGCACCAATCAGCAGAAATTCCCTTAACCTTTGCCTACAAGTTGTGAAGCTTGCCCTTCATCTGGAGTACTTTAGGCTTCTGAAATGGAACTGCCTGCTGCCAGTGTGCTTCTGGACCTGATGCCCAGCAAGCCAGGGGCTTCAGCTCTACTTACCACTATGAATTTTTGGTCTACATAGATGCTTATTTAAAAAAATATATAGCTAAGTATTTTTTTTTCTTTTTATACTTGCTATGCATTTAGAGTAGAGGGGTATGCCAAATCATGAATTTACTTCACTAGCTTGATTTGAAGACATTCTAAGTGCAATGCTCCAATGTGGAGTTTGGAGATTGGTATTCATGAAAAACTATGGTGGTTCATGTACGCCTTCTCAGATATCTGTGGGGGTGGAAGAATATGCAATTGTTGCTGGTCATTACTTCTGAAATCATTTATAAATGGGCTTTATGAAGTTCTTGGCTTTCGATATGTATTTACTATCAGTTGTCCATTTCACACTCTGACAACTTTTATGATGCTTTTTAGAGATGTTTTGGAACCTCTGTTGGAAACAATAAGCTAGGCTAGTGTATTAGTCCATTTTCACACTGCCAATAAAGACATACCCAAGACTAGGCAATTTACAAAAGAAAGAGGTTTATTGGACTTACAGTTCCATGTGGCTGGGAAGGCCTCACAATCATGGTGGAAGGTGAAAGGCAAGGAGGAGCAAGTCATGTCTTACAGGGATGGCAGCAGGTAAAGAGAGAGCTTGTGTAGGGAACTCCTGTTTTAAAACCATCAGATCTTGTTAGACTCATTCACTATCACGAGAACAGTGCAGGAAAGACCCACTCACATAGTTCAATTACCTCCCACTGGGTTCCTTCCACAACACGTGGGAATTGTGGAAGTTACAATTCAAGATGAGATTTGGGTGGGAAGACAGCAAAACCATATCAGCTAGT
Organism: Homo sapiens; assembly: GCF_000001405.40. Taxonomy (NCBI): domain Eukaryota; kingdom Metazoa; phylum Chordata; class Mammalia; order Primates; family Hominidae; genus Homo; species Homo sapiens. The sequence continues at coordinate 35,592,417 of NC_000015.10, forward strand.
GATTATCAAACTTGACTGATATATGGCCTGGTGGAAAAATGTCAAGAATGCTTAATGTTGATTTAAATTATTTTTATTATTATCATTAATTTACTTAAATATGTACAAACATAAAACTAGCATCTTATGATTAGACCTCAGATACAACTATAAAGCCAAAACAAATTTATATATTAAATACAAATAAAACTATAAAACTAATATGATTCACAGTAACACATTTATTTTAATGTGACAGATGATACTGCTTTGCTAGAACCAAATTGATACTTGAAATATAAACATATTAATGACTATTGAGGTTCATTGTATTAGATAGATCATGGCAGAAAATGAATGGCATTTCAGTACTTAAAGAGGATTTAAAAAAGGAAATATGTACAAAGGTACAGACTGGCTTAGAAGAAACTAAAGAGGGTTGAGAAACAGCAACAGTGAAGAGCCATTATGATCTGTAAGGCTGTAGAAGCAAATGAAGAAACAATGATCAGAACAGAGAGAGTGTGGCTGCAGGGATAGAGGAAAAACTTAGAAAATCTATGATTTTTGTAAAAGGGGCATAATTAACTTATAGGAACACACCCAAGAGGAAACCAGCAAAATAAATGCCCTGACCTCACTATTGTCACTCTTCAGCCTCCTGCTATAGATCCCCATTTACTGAACCTAACCAAAAAAGAAAAACAAAACAGAGTATGAGAAAGCCTCTTGATGAAGATCATGGGCACATAATAAAAAGAGTAGGATAGAGGAAGTAGTCTGGAGAGGTAAGGGAAAACATTCATTCAAGTTCATTCAGTATTCATTCATTCAATATGTGCTACAAGGTACTCTGTGATGACACGATTCTCCCACAACTTAAAAAAAATTAAAATAAGTATAAAAATGTTTGCTCTTCCCTAGGTATGAATACAAATTTACATTTAAAGTCTCTTTTATTTTTCCTTATTAGTCCATTACAATTTAAATTGTAATTGATATCAATACAATGATAAAACAGAAGGAAGGCTAGAGCACTGAAATTTGTGGTAATATCCAATTATAATATGGTTATCTAGCTGATCCTAAATATGCATTTTAAAAATATCACCAAATGAATACAAAACATTTTCTAAATGTTAAAACAAAACAAGCAAACAACATCAACAGAATCTTCAAGGAGAACTTTAAATTGTGCCAATATATTCACCCCCTCTGAGTTCATGGAGCTCATTTGAGAATACTTGAACTAAGCCTTTTATGCTTCAATATGGATAAATTTTCTGTGCTCTGAAACAACCGGCATGTAACTGCTAGAGAAATCTACCTAAAGCTCTGCTGTGATTCTGTAATTCTTTTCATTAAAACAATCTTCCATGGCTCCCCATTTCCTACAGATTTAAGTATAAAATTTGCATCCTGAAATTCAAAGTCCTTAGCTTACTTTTTGAGCTTTATCATCTATTACACTTCCCTTAGACATGTTGTATACTCCAGCCAAACTAGGAGGTGTATTATGGTCTGAACAAACTCTGGTTTTCTACTTTCTTATCCCTGTTCCTATTTTTTTTCCTCTCCTTGGAATGCCAGCTTCTTTATCTCTGCCTTTTAAAATCCTGCACACCTCTTGAAGCTCATTTCAAGTCTACCTCCTCTGTGAAGATTGAGCTAACACCAAGGATCAGGTTGTCAAATCACTCACACAAATGAGAGACCTTTCTCAGTATCAAGCTTCACAGCTAATTCCAAGGATACAAGCATTCAAGACACAGGCAAGCAGAGAAAAGGCTGGGTCATTCCACAGGGCTTCCCACATCCTTGTTGTTGTGGACGTGTACTCTCCAACCCAGAATAATAGATGAGGTCTCTAATGAGGGCTGCAGGTCACCTCACACAGTGGACAGCATTGAAGTTAGGAAACATCTCCACTTCATGCTCCGGAGAGTTGTATAGCTTATGTCACATTCTCTAGGGAGCCATGCATCATAAATCCATACATTGTAGGCTTGTTTACCCTAAGCAATCCTAAACCAGAGACATCCTGCATCATTATTCAATTTGCCCAGAAGTCCAGTTTTTATATTTGCAAGGATATTAGACTGAAGCATTGTCTTCTTTTTCTAGAACCATCTTCAGGAAGAAATGGATCACAGATCAATTTCTTTAACTCCTTTCCCTGCCGACACTTATGATTACTCCAGCCTTACGTAATCTTTTCCTTCTATCACTCTGTGCCTCTATCGTAGCACTATTTTTCTGCTTATTTAAATTATCTTCTCTCCTGCAACCTGGTAGAAGGGATATGATATATTCATTTTGAGACTGTGATAGTACTTTGCAAAGTGCCTTGCATATAACAGTTATTTAATAAACGTTGAAATGAATTAGGAGAAAGTAAGAATTTTTTTCTTCTCATTATTTCCCACAGATAACACTGTTGAGTCCTGGACATTGGAGAGAAATCAGATAGTCCAAGTTCAAGTGGGTTTAAATATTAGCTTGTATAGATAACTTAATAAAAACTACACAGAATTTATGCTAAATCATGCAAAATTAAGTAAAGTTGAGTTCATGGACTTTCCTTCTCATTCTTGAACACCATTTTCCTCTCTCCTCAGGTGCCTATATCTAGATCTTATTTGCAGGGATGAATGTTGCTCAAGGGAGTTGCTGGCTAAGAGACTTCACTATTACCAGGGGAGAATGTTATCTAGACACTCATCACTGAAGTATCAGAATCAGTGGTAGGACAGATAAAAGCAATAAAGCCATGCTTCTAGGTGGGAAATTGGAAAGTAGTCAGTCAATGCGTCAACTAAAAGGATAAGGCAGAGACATAACCAGGAAACACAATGAGGACAAGGAAACACCCTAGCTGTTGAAATGAATGGTTCAATATTCAGGTCTGAAAACCTAGTATATTCTTGGAGGTATTGGTTTTCTGTGTATTTAGAAAGCTTTCCTGGGTTAAAGTCATACTTATAAAGATAGAGCTGGCCTGACCAGCAGAGTTTGCATGGTCTTCCCCACTTCTCATATACAATTTAATTCTCAATATGTAAAAATCATTGGTAATAGTTTAAGATGTCTTCCTTCTTAGGAATATGTGCATACACCCAGAATTCAGTCTTAGGCCACAATGATAAAGGGCTTATTTCTGGTTTTGGGTTGAGGAGAACTGGGGGCATAAGAACTTTCCTAACTATACTTAAATTGCCTGCTAGGATGTCGTGACATACCATCCTCTTACTTGGCTCCATAACATTGAGAATTTATAGATATTCCCATGCTTAAGCTCTCTAATTGCTAATAAAATAATAAATTTTATGCTATTTCTTTTTCCCTACAGAGAGAACAAAAAACCCTGGAGCTATATATACTTGGTTAATGTTTTTGTTTGCGTAACAGTGTTTCTTTCCTTATCTGTTTTAAACAGTGTGCTTCCTGGAAGTTGTAATTTTTTTTCTAAGACTGCATAACAAATTACCACAAACTTAATGGCTTAGAAGAACACACATTTATTATTTTTCTCAGTTGCATGGGACAAGAGCCTAAATGTTGCTTAACTGGTTCCTCAAAATATGTTCTCATGAGACTGCAACCAAGGTGTTGGATAGGGCTGGGTTCTCACCAGAGGCTAGACCAGGGAAGGATCTGCTTCCACATTTCTTAGGTTATTAGCAGATTCATTTCCTAGCATCTTTAGGATGCATGGCAGCTTGTTTCTTCAAAGCCAACAACAGAAAGAAAGAAACTCCAGCACTTTGGGTGCTATAATAGTATGTATTGCATGTATGTAATCACTTACATCCCTTCACCTTTGCCATTTTCTACTGGTTGGGAACAAGTCACAGGGCCTTCCTACACGCTATGGGAGGGATTACATAAAGATGTGAATACCAGAAGGTAGGGACCAGGCTGGCCACCTTAGCGTGTGTCTGCCACAGAGGTAGATATAATGCTTTTTATATAAATTCAAAGTAAAATCAGTTTATATGCACATAGATTCTTCATGACTGTGTGCTGGTGATGACTCAAATGATAATGAAGATCATGGAAATGCAGAATCAGAATCAGATGTTAGTGATTTGTCTAAGGGCTCTAAGTAAGAAAGAGTAGCTGAAGATGAGAGGTCTGCTCTGGCATTATTTAACTTGACATATGTCATGTATGCTGATGAAATGCTTTCTAACTAGGAGCCTAATTTCCATCCTATGCATCTCATAAGCTTGGAGAGTTCTTATTCCTTCAACAGTGTTTTAGGTACCTATGTTTTCCATGTCTTCTGCTGTGATTTAGACATATAGGAAGTGGCTAAACTACTTACATTTTCTGAAATCATGGAAAGGAGAATACTACACTAGTAACTTGAGGCTGCTTTGGGTTTTGAAAATAACAAATCTACAATAAGAACACTGATGTTGCTTGCCAATGTTGAAGAATTTTATAACCAGCAAAGGACTTGTGTGGGAGAACAGACCCCCTTTTCCCACTGTATCAAGAGCTTTTTATTATTGTCTTGTTTACCCTAAACTTACTAAAAGTAAAAAAAATGTGAGGAGGAAGGGCATAGAAAAAACTCCCAATTTAGACATTTTCTGTGGGAATCATTTCAAAGATCTGCATTTAAGACCTACTTCAAACAATGTGCTGTCACTACTAACTGCCAAGAAGAAATTACACCTATAGAAAAAGAGAGCACTTGAATTTCCAAATTACATGGCCTTAATTTTTCTTTCACTACTGCTACCTTTCACGTATTCTGTGACTGCCAAACAGGACCATCAAATGCTCTTTGAACATGAGCTACATTTTCCTGCCATTTCTTACCCTGCTGAAAATGTTCTCTCTGCTTCTGTTGCTATTTGTCCTTTTGTATCTATTTCTGCATTTCAAATCTTCTTTTGTATTTGTCTCTGCATTTAAAATTTTAGCTCAAAAACTACCACACTTTTTAGTTTTCTGATTGCTCTATCATCCTTTATATTCTCATAGTGCCTGGCAACCCTCCTATGGCTCTTGTGGCCACATTGTATTCCATAGATTTTTTTTTTAAATTCATATAGCATAAAATTGACCACTATAAAGTGCAAAATTCAATGGCTTTTAGTACATTCATGATATTATGTAACTGTCACCCCTATTTTACTATCTTATTCCCAAGCACTTCTACCACCTCTCCCCCTCTCCCCTACCACACACACAAAACACCCTGTACCCATTAAGCTGTCAATCCTCATTTCTTCCAATCCTGGCAACCACTAGTATGCTTTGTGTCTCCGATGAATTTGCCTATTCTGGATATTTGAAATAAATAATACAATATGTGGCTTTATATATATGGTTTCCTTCACTTAGTGTAGTGTTTTCAAGATTTATCCATGATGTAGTATATATTAATAATTTTTATGGCTGAATAATATTTCATTATGCAGATATAACACATTTTGTTCATCCATTTATAAGTTGATAGACATTTGGGTTGTTTCCACTTTTTGCACTTCTTAGTTTTTATGAATAATGCTACTGTGAACATTTATGTAGAAGTTTTTTTTTGAACACCTGTGTTCCATTCTGTTGAGTATACACCTAGAAATGTAATTGCTGGGTCACATGGTAGCTCTATGTTTAACATTTTGAGAAACTGCCATACTGTTTTCCAGAGCAGCTGCCTCATTTTATATTCCCACCAACAAAGTATCTTGTTATTTTCTGTGTGTGTGTGTGTGTGTGTATGTGTGTATGTATGCCTGTTTTAATTCTAGCCATCTTAATGGGTATGAAGTGGTATCTTGTGGTTTTGAATTGCATTTCCTGGATGACTAATGATGTTGACTATCTTTTTATATGTTTGTTGGCTGTTGCATATCTTCTTTGGTGATAATCCATAGATTTTTATGTTGATTTCTTTTTTTAATACACAAATTAAATTTTTATTTAAATTATTATTAATTAGGAAACTGGAAAGATGTTGATAATCAATTCAAAGAATAATCCAAAGAGCAGACATTTATAGATTGGTAATGTTGAAAGGAAACCACAAATGGAAGGAAATATTTTTTTCCCATGCTATTCCCTCTTCCTGGGATTCTTAATCACTCTCTCATTCACTTTAAGTAGAAAGTTTCTCAACTTTCAGCTCTATCCTCAAACATCACCTCATCAAACTAAAGTGTGTTGTCATATTCCATACTATTTTTGATCTACCCTCATTTGGCCAAAACTAAATTGAATAGGAAAAAACAAACTGTTTTTCCTACTCTCACAAACTCCCTCAACACAGAACACTTATGATCACCAAAATGTGTGGAGATTTCTCCCCACCAACAACAAGTACTCAGCAGAAACTGCTAGGTATGCTTCAATTTAAATCAATTCTCACAGTCTCTACCTGGAGTTAACATCAGATCCTACAGCTTTCGGCCTTAGTCCCACAAGACTGCCCTCCACTTCACATGCCAATCACAAGTCCCAAGTTGTGACCTGTACTTCTGGCCAACTAACAATAAGTTAGGGGTTTCCTTGACACCACTCCTTGGCATATATTAATTAGCTAGAGTGGCTCACAGAATTCAAGGAAACTCCTTACTTACTATTATCACTGTATAACAAAGAATATGTTAAGGTATAAAAATGAAGAAGCAGATGGAGAGATCCATAGAACAAGATTTGGAAGGGTCCTAAGCGTAAGGGTTTCTGTCCACATGGAGTTGAGGTACACTTCCCTCCCAGCAGTGGATGTTCATCAGCCCAATCCAGGAGCTCATCAAATCAGGTTCTTTTAGGTTTTTCTGGAGGCCTCATTACATAGATACACTTGATTAAATTATTGATCATTGTTGATCAACTCAAACTTTATTCCCTTTTCTGTCCTTGATGGGCGGGTGGGGTTGAAAGTTGCTAACATCTAATTACACGATTTTTTCCCCCTGTGAATTTGTGCCCATCATGAAGCTTTCCCTGCCCTGGTAGAAATTCCTTCTTGTTTTTCCTCTTTATACATTTGACATATTTGTTAGAAGTAAAATGGTTAAAATCAGAAAATAAGATAGAAAACATAACCACTGGTGATGGATCAATGTAGATGTTGCACAGTGGGTATTCAGTTAGTGTGTGCTGAATGCTTTCTGTATACCAGTTTGGTGGTTATCAGAGGCTGGGAAGGGTAGGGGTTGGAGGCGATGAAGACAAGTTGATTAGTGGGTACAAAAATACAGGTAGAGAGATGAAATAAGACCTAGTCTTCATTAAATCAGTAGAGTGACTATAGTAAACAGCAATCTGTTGTTATTACAAAGCAGCTAGTAGACAATAATTTGAATGTTTCTAGCATAAAGAAAAGATAAATATTTGAAGTGATGGATATACCAATTACCTTGATTTGATTATTACACATTAATATAAATGTATCAAAATATCACATGTACCCCAAAATATGCATATCTATTATGAATCAATTTCAAAAGGGCAAACATTGTGTGATTTCATTTATATGAAGTACCTTAAGGACAAGCTCATGGAGTTACTTTCTTATCTCTCTCCTGAGACTACAAGTTTCTTGAGGACAGGAAATATGTCACTAATCTTTGAATCGCTCAGGGGCTTTGTTAAATAGTTCAGGGCACACTAAGTGCTCAGCAAATACTTATTGATCTGAATTTAGAAGTCTCAACAAAATTTGTTGTATTGCCTGAGTCAGCCCAGAAGTGAAGTCTTCACATCATATTATTTTAGTATAAAACTATTCTTACTTAGGATATCAGCAGACTCTCTGTTAATATGTCCGTTGGCTTTCAGTGACATCTGAATTGTTGACTGCATGTTTATTGAAACATTTTTCTGGCTTTAGGATGTCATACTTCCCTAGATTTACTTTCTACTTCTCCATTTACTGCTTTTCAGTCTCTTTGGTAGACTCTTCTTCTCTGATGAGCACTTAAAGATGAGCACTTAAAGATGAGCATTCCCTGGATGTTTGTCCTTGGAAATCTGTTTACACTGGTACTAGTTCTTCCCAAATGCTTGTCCTCAAATAGTGTCATTTCATGATAGCCATTTTTTCAATGAAGGTCAGTGTAATGAGTCTTTTATCTACGTTAATTGGTTAATTGGGAGGACTGTCCTTCGTTTTAGGATTGTGTTATCAATACTTTTTTTGTGTCGAAATATCTGTCTTCTACTTCTATGAAACAGTAATAATAGTAAAGGCTACTTATATAGACTTTTAATGTCCTTAACAAATTAAAAATTTAGCAACGCTCACAATCATTTAAGAATGTACCAGTCAAGCAGTGTAATGTACAGCATTTCCAGAATGAAGGATAAAAGCATATGACCATGTCAACTGATGCAGAAAAAGCATTTGACAAATTTCTACATCCTTTCATGATAAAAGATGTCAACAAAATAGGTATAGAAGGAAACTTCCTCAATATGATAACTGCCATTTACAAATGCCCACAGCTAATATTATAATCAATGAGAAAAAACGTTTCCTCTAAGATCTGGTATAAGACAAGGATGCCCACTCTTCTGAATAGAAGTGGTGAGCACTTCTATTCAATATAGTTCTGGAAGTACTAGCTAGAGCAATTAGACAAGGAAAAGAAATAAAAGGCATCTAAATTGTAAAGGAAAAGTAAAATTATCCCCATTTGCAGATGACATGATCCTAGATGTAGCAAACCTTAAAGACTTCTCCCAAAAAACCTGTTAAAACTAATAAAGTCAGTAAACTAGCAGGATTAAAAAAAATCAATATACAAAAATTGGTTGCATTTCTTTATACCAACAATGATGTATCTGAAACAGAAATCAGGAAAACAATCCCAGTTATGATAGCATCAACATGAATAAAATAACCATTTAATCAAGGAAATGAAAGATCTGTACACTGAAAATCAAAAAACACTGATGAAAGAAAGAAGATACAAATAAATAAAAAGATATATTATATTTGTGGAGTGGAAGAATTAGTAGTGTCAAAATATCCTTAATACCTAAAGTGATGTGCAGATTCAGTGCAAATCCCTATCAAAATTTCCATGGCACTTTTCACAGAAATAGAAAAAAATAATAATTCTAAAATTTATATGGGACTACAGTAGACCCTGAATAGACAAACAACCTTGAGAAAGAAAAACAAAGTTGGAGGCTTCACACTAATTTCAAATTATATTGATATCCTGTTCTATACTTATTCCCTTGGTATCATAGTCAGGGTTCCTCAAAGGAATAGACCTAATAAGGACATATATACATATTTATATATATATAAAAGGGGATTTATTATGGGAATTGGCTCATGTAGTTATGGAGGCTGAGAAGTCCCATGAGGCCAGGCGTAGTGGCTGACATCTGTAATCCAACCACTTTGAGAGGCTGAGATAGGAGGATCACTTGAGTCCAGGAGCTCAAGACCAGCTTGGGCAACATAATGAGAACCTGTCTCTACAAAAAACAAATAAAATAAAATAAAAAATTAACCAGGCATGGTGTTGTGCACCTGTAGTCCCACCTATATAGGAGGCTGTGGTAAGAGGATTGCTTGAGTCCAGGGGTTTGAGGTTACAGTGAGCCGTGATTGCACCTCTGCACTCCAGCACGGGTGACAAAATGAAATCCTGTCTCTAAACTATATGTGTGTGTCGGCCGGATGCAGTGGCTCACACCTGTAATCCCAGCACTTTGGGAGGCCCAGGTGGGTGGATCACCTGAGGTCAAGAGTTTGAGACCAGCCTGACCAACATGATGAAACCACATCTATACTAAAAATACAAAATTAGCTAGGTGTGGTGGTGCATGCCTGTAATCCCAGCTACTCGGGAGGCTGAGGCGGGAGAATCGCTTGAACCTGGGAGGCAGAGGTTGCGGTGAGCCGAGATTGTGCCATTGCACTCCAGCCTAGGCTACAAGAGTGAAACTCCATCTCAAAAAATAAAATAAATAAATAAATAAATAAAATTGTGTGTGTGTGTGTGTGTGTGTGTGTATTTAAAAAAAGTAGAAAGAAGTTCCATGATATAGCATCATCTGCAAGCTGGATAATCAGGGAAGCTGGTGGTATAATTCAATCTAAGTCCAAAGTCATGAGAACCATGGGAGCCAATGGTATAACTCTCAGTCCAAAGTCAAAAGCCTGAACACCTGGTGTTCTGACATCCAGGGGCAATAGAAGAAGGATGTTCCAGTCCCAGAGGAGAAAGTGAATTCACCTGTCCTCTGCTTTTTTGTTCTATCTGGGTCCTCAACAGATTGGATGAAATTGGTGAAGGTAGATCTTCCTTACTTAATCTGCAGATTCAAGTGCTGAACTCTTCTGGAAACACCTCCACAGACATATCCAGAGATTTTACTTTAGCAGCTATGTGAGTATCCCTTAACCAAGTTGACACCTAAAATTAACCATCACATTGGTAATCTCATTCATTGACATAACTTCAATTATGATACACATGATGATGACTTCCAAGTCACAAATGTCTCTATTCAACTCAAATATGTATATCCAATTTCTTATCAAATAATTCTCCCTCCATGTTCCATGATAGTTTTTGATTTAGCACATATAATCTTGATCTCATCGACCATGCACCCACCTACCTCCCTCTCTTTCATATTTCCTATCTCATTGAATGGCATCATCTGGTCTCTTAAGTCAGAAGCTGGGAAACCCCTTTAGGTTCCCTCTTCTTCAACGTATTTTCCACACCTTATTACAAACTATTTGTATTTTTATTTTTATAATATTCCTACAGACAATCCACTTCACTCAGTTTCTCATTTTCTTCGTGCTACCTTATTTCAGACTACTGTCAACAACTCATCATCCATTCAATATACATTTTTAATCTCTGTTGTGTTTCAAGCACTGGAGGTACAACGTGAAAACAATTTGAGAGCCTATTTTGAGGGAACAATTTTAAAGTTACTGGGCCTTTTGGGCATTAAAACATAGTTTAGGTTATGATTTATTTTAAAATCATGAGTATTTGGAGATTTTTTTTGCTGTGCTTAGTGGGTACTGTGTGTATTTTAGAGACTGACATTGAAAACCTTTTGGTTTGGGGAGTTTTAAAGTAAATGACTCATGTTGAGGAAAGAGGTTATTACCTAAATCTGGACTGCGGCCTAAGGAAATTCCCTTAACCTCTATTCTGGTTTCCTATTTCAAAATGGTTGTGTAGGAGGCTAATGGAAGTTAGTTGGTTGCTATGATCCAAAAACTCTATGGGTGAAAATTTAAAGTACAGATTTCTTATTTAATCGTTAAACAGCTTTAGTTGTGAGTTCTATGTCCTGGTATAATGGATCCTGATTATTAATGCATTAAATATGCATTCAGTGAATTCAAATGTTGCTAATTATTCTTTTACCAATCAAAGAAAACTCAAAGCATGGGATTAAGAGGGGTTGGCCAAAAGTATTTGGACCAGGTTGCATACCAGGACCATGAAGAAATTGAGAACAGAGCCTACATCTTTTATACTATGGTTCAAAGCAAGGGCTGTTGGAATGTGCTGCTTCTCCAAAGTAGGACTTATGAAAAAATGAGGGTCCCAGCATAGGGGAAGCATCAATGTCCTGAAGAAAAAGGAGAAGCTTCTGACTGGGTTCCAGGGAGACAAGCAGAAAAGAAGCAGAACTATCTGGAATGGATGATTACACCATCTGCTTTTGCAGTCTTACCTTGGGCAGTGTCCAGTACTTGATGTTTTAGGAGGAAAAAAAAATCTATCACTTTTTATATTTTTCACTTGGTAAATCATTAAAATCTGGAAACTATCCTCTGTAATACATTTTTTTGGCTAGGTTTTTCCCTTTGAGTCTTGATTGAGTTTTTACACTGATACAGAGCTTAAAAATATTAATGAAAATATTTCTTCTGTCAAAAGGCTGGAATGCATGAGTATTGTCAGTTTGCAGGTAATACGGCTATTTTGCAAAAATTCAGTATGATGGAGGGTGCCTAGACAGTCTAGGAAATTTTGCAGAAAGGGTACAAATACTTCACATGTCCTAATCGTCTTGAGATTTACCACTCGGATTTATATTTTTAGTAGTGGCTTGATTTTTGTTAGCTATTTCAGTTTTATTCTGGGTCAAAAAATGAACAGAAGAAATTTAGAGGAGGAACAATAAATATATGGAACAACTTTCTTTATAATCCTTAACTCTCAGGGTGAGTACATGGAGATTGCCATCATTAAAACTAAAATATTACAGATTCAGAAAGTTACTGTTGGTTATAGCATTTGTTCAGGGTCCCCAAGGGTATGTTTTACTTCTGAGTTGATGGTCTAGGATGTGATGTTTTTGAACAATGTTCCCTAATCAGAAATGAAAGGATAGAATTCATTGACAATAACTGCGAGGACATTTCCAGTTATCCTCTTCCCTGACTTTGGGGCCATTTTATAGAATCATAGCAGTTTGGGAGTCAAAGGGACTATCATAATAAAATCAAACTTTTTCAGTTTTGAGTCCAATCTTTGGCCTCAGAATCTTCAATTTCGTAACTTTTTCATGATCATTAAGTTGTCAGTGGTGCAACTGTGACTAGAACTGGATCCCCACTCCTTGTCCAGAGTTCTTTCCTCTTACCTGATTGCCAGTATTCTCCTTTCTTTGTTGATAATTTTCTTCAAAATCTTCTTTGAAGCAAATGAACAAAAACAGTTTCAAATGGCTGCTTGCCAACTATTTCCTCACGTGAACTCCATTTTTATTCTTTCACTAAGTTCTTTTGATAAAGAGAATCATAGACTATTAGACATGGAAAGGATATTCATGGATTCTAATCTCCTTATTTAACAAATACGAAAACCAAGACCTAGGCAGTCAACTTGCCTGAGGCCACAGATAATGGTAACATTAGAATATGAACTAAGGATTCCTGTGAATTTAGTGATTTTTTTTTTTTTTTTGCAGAGAACTTCACTACCTTGAAAGAACCATCTCTTTTTCTAAGTCATGTACATACCAGTTAAACACATTATGACTATTAATTAAACAAAAACCTCAGGACTTCAGATTCTATGAGACACAGAATATCATGTCTCTTAGAGAATGTGTGAGAAAAGAAAAGAGCAAAAATTTAAAGAAACAAAGTGATAAATAAAATCAATATTTAAAGGGGAGCTTAAATGAAATCCCAGAGATGAATGATTCGTGCTTTTAACAATTTATGGGCTAATTAATTAGCAGCTTTCCTGATGTTAAACTTTGGTGTCCGATATTTTTTCCTCTGGAAAATACAAGGATACCAGCTTGTTCTAAGGCTCCAAGCCATTCCCCGTGGACTGTTCTTGGCCTCTGCCTTCACAGACCATAACTTGAAAAAGAAAATTGACAGACAGAAAGAAAAACCCTTAACAGCTGGAGCTTTAATTTACCTACATGAGTAAAAATATTTCAGTGTCTGAGATTTCTCCTGGGTTGCCCTATATGGAAGTAGAACAAGAAGCCAGAGGAAAAATCACACAAAAAGCTTTTACAAGAAACATTATAAAAAGAGCAAATCCTGAGAATTGTGTTTAATAACAGCAATGATGAATTTCCTGGCAGTCAGTACCAAGCAGTTAAAGACCAACCATCATGTGAGAGAGGCTGGATTAGTTAGAATGGTCTACAGCAGCCTAATAAAGAGCGCCAGAAGATTTATTCTCTCATACATATAATTTTGAGATATGAATGATTCTATATTTAAGAAATGATTCACATTAATTTATACTAAGAGATTCTAGTTTGACTTAAAGCAGGGCCTGAAAAATTGAAGAATAATGCTTTGAACCACCAAGTTAGTGCCCCACAGAATATTTTAAAATTATTTAACACACATCATCTCAGTGTCAACAACTCATCACAGATAAACTATCTAATTAACAGAACCCTTCATAGTATTTGATAACTGAGTCTTGGCTCGGTTTTTATACCAGAAGGGCAATCCTTGATAAGCAGAAATTATAAAAGCAGATTTTTAAAGGCATTAATTCAAAAATAGAATCAAACTGATTTCAAATTAACCCCCTGTTGGTATTTAAACTTATTTAAAACCACTTGGCTTAAAGATAACACTTGGAGAGGCTGCTTTCGACCAGAGTCAGGCTTTGTCTAGACTGTCAGCCTCTGTATTTTTATTTCCTTTGTTGTGTACCAGCCTCCTCATACCCAGGGTAATTGATATGGGTCTTGTGCTAGGGACAGATGAGTGTATCCTGTCATTGAAGCCCTTCACAAGATGCCTTAATTATTGGAGCTAATTTGAAGATTTGTGCTCTGTGGTCTACTTAGGAAGCTCAATTGTTTTCTTTTCCCAATTCCGTGTTGGCAACACTTTCAATAACGAATCCAATAAAGAATTAGTATTTGGCTCCCTGTGGTCATGGAAAAAGGACAGCAAGAATAAGCAACAATAATAATTCCTTTTTGTATAGATTTTTTTTAATGTGACCAAGTTATTGCTTCAGTTTTGGGACAAAGACTCATGAAAAAGTAGAAGTGGAATCTTAATAATTTCCATAAGGGATTGTAACACGATTCTTTGATCTCTGCTGCTAATTAATATCCATTTTGCAATGAAATAAAATGTAGTTTCTAATGGAGAGAATTCAGGATAAAGAAAAGGGAAGGCAGATCCATTGAAAATGATGTTTAGATTACAAAATGAGAAGCAAGATGAAACACAATTAAATAATCAATGTTGCAATTAGGTAAATCAAATTACCAAACTCTCAATATAGAGAATTGGTGGATGTGAACCCTGGTCAGGAATCTACTCTTATATTTCTTTGTGACCATAAGTTTCACTAAGGTTTGCTGAATCTTATTCTACATAATAGCTGGAAAATTAGAGATAGCTGCATATTAACAGAAGAATGCACCTTTCAGGATCACAAACAATATATACTGGATGCTTCCATTTTGGTGTTACGGATGTGTCAGTGCACAGATGGTTGATACATAAGTATCAGTTGTAATTATCTTTGGGTGGCAAAACTATAAATAATTTTTTATGTGTGTGTTTAGCTGTATTTTCTAAAATGAGTATGCATCACTTTTATCATAGTAAAATAGTTAATATTTGTAAAGTGCCTGCTTTGTGATATTCTTTCAGATATGTACATCCTGACTTTCAACATTCAGTTGGGGGAAATTAGGGTAGATAATATAAATAAAATTTCAGCTAGTTCATTCTTTCTACAATGCTGATTTCTGGGGTTGATTATTATTTAGATATTTACCTTATGTCTAAAAACTATTATTCAGACACCGAGCAGACAGACATGGAACATCTCTTGGGACCTTGTGTCTGATACACATAAATTCAAACAGTTTTAAAACTCTTCCACGTCTTCCTCTTACCTACTACTGTTTGCTAATAAGTAGACTGAGAAAAGGGAAACTATAGCAGTGCAGTTTTTCAATTTTACATTAACACAGTAAAACTTTGCAAGGGGACAGAAGGATATAGATTGTGTTTATGGAGGGATTTTCTTGATGCCCAACTTGTGAATTGGCTCTTCTTGGCAAATGGACTTTGATACAGAATGACTTCTCAAGTAATTATCTAGGAGAGAAACTTCAGTTCTGCAGATTACCTTCTTGTGG
Organism: Homo sapiens; assembly: GCF_000001405.40. Lineage (NCBI taxonomy): Eukaryota > Metazoa > Chordata > Mammalia > Primates > Hominidae > Homo > Homo sapiens. The sequence goes on from NC_000015.10 coordinate 35,608,005, forward strand.
TTAAGATCATGTCTTTTAACGAGGAATAACTTACCTTAATGAATATTTGAGAAGATTCCAGTATCTCATTTGAAACCTAATATCAAGAACTATTTTTTTTTTAGTCACTATGCAGTGACTCTGTGCCAAGGTCACTGCACAGTGATTATTCATGTATTTGCAAGCCAGTATTTATCAATCTCTTAGTTTTTTTTCTTCTCTAGATCTAATTTTCTCATTTACCGTAGAGAATATCTGTCTTCTATTTCTCCCTGTGAGTCTTCTTTGGTCCTATGCGGAGGCCATCAATATGGTACTATATATTGAAATTCTCAAATTTTAATTTGAGAACCGAGGCAATAATTCTTAACAGTTATGGTTCAAAATGACATGTGGAACCCCATTCCTGGAGATACTGATTTTGTAGGTCTAGAGTGAGACCCAAGCTTTCCCTTATATTTTCTCAACAGTGTTTTTTGAAGAAGAAAAATCTTAAGATTTTAACAAAGTATGATTTATCAATTTTTTATAGTCTATGAAATTTGAGTACTATTTAGTAAATTTTGCTTGATCTAAGGTGACTAAAAGATTCTCTTATATTTTCTTCTAGAAATTTTATAGCTTTAGCAAATTTTAAATTTGAGTCTATAATCCATTTCAAGTTAAATCTTTGTATATAAAAAGTAAGGGTCCCGGGTTGTAGTCTTTCTCTCTCTCTCTGTGTGTGTGTGTGTGTGTGTGTGTGTGTGTATGTGTGTGTGTGTGTGAATATTTAATTCCCAGTTGTTCCAACACATTGGAATTTAACTTTTCACACTGGATTGACTTGGCACTTTTACCAAATATCATTGATCATATACGTTTGGCTCTATTTCTGAACTTCTGTTCCATTAATCTATTTTTTATGCTAACATCTTAGTGATTATAGCTTTATAGTAAGTCTTACAATCAGGTAGTGTAAGTTCTTCAACTTTTTTCTTTGTTTTCAAAATTGTTTTGAACATTCCAGGCCCTTTGAATTTCCATATATATTTTAGAATTGATTTGTCGATTTCTGAAAAAAGCCTGTTGAATTTTGAATGTGATTGCACTGACTCGATAGATTAGTTTGGTGGGGAACTGACATCTTAACAATATGTATTCTTTTGATACATGAGCATGGAACATAAGTATTTATTTAAAGCACCTCTAATTTCTTTTAATACTGTTTTGTAGTTTTCAGTGTAAAGGTCTTATACATATTTTGTTAAATTTATGACTATTTCATATTTTAATGCAACTTTTAATTGAATTATTTTCTTTATTGTTCTATATCCCACAGTTACTTATTTCATACATTTATTGAACTATTATTGCAGTATAATAAACTACATATGTAATATGTATTTTGATAGGTTTTTATTTATTTATACAACCATCATCACAGTCGAGAAAAAGAATATTTACATCAAACTTCAAAATTTCCTCATGCCTTTTGCAGTTGATCACTTTCTCCACATCTAGCTCCAAATACCTGTTAACCTACTTTCCATTATTATATATTAGTTTGTATGCTCTAGAATTTTATGGAGACTGTATAATCCAATATTATCCTTATTTCAGGCTTTTTTCACAAAACATAATGATTTCAAAATTTATCCATGTTGTTGAGTTATGAATAATTCATTTAATTTTATCCCTGAGTAGTATTTTATTGCATGGATACACCAGGATTTTCTCTCCTTTCACCCATTGATAGACATTGGGTTGTTTCTCATTTATGACTATTACAAATAAAGCTCTTATGAACATTTGTGTACAAGTCTTTGTGTGGAAATATACTTTTGTTTCTCTTGAGTAAATACCTGTAAATGGAATGGCTGTGTTTTGTTTCTCTTGAGTAAATACCTGTAAATGGAATGGCATGTGAATCTTTAACTTTTTAAGAAATTGCCCACTGTATTTTTGTGATTTTAGTTTCTGATTATTCAATGCTAGTATAGAGAAATACAATTGCATATTGCTTTGTATCTTGTGACTTTGCTAAATTTGCTTACTAACTCCATAGCTTCTTTGTAGATTCATTAGGGCTTTCAATAAAAGTAGCCATACTATCTGCAAATGTAGACAGCTTTACTTCGTTTTCAATTTGTATGCCTTTTATTTCTTTTTCTTGCTCTATTGCTCTGGGTAGAATCTCTACTGCAATATTGCATTAAAGTAGTAAAGGTAGACATTCTTGTAATTTCTTTTTCTGGTTTTTGTATCATTGAATTGGAAAGAACTCTTTTCTACCTTTGGGAAGAGATTGTATAGAATTGGTTGTATTTCCTTCTTACATGTTTGGTAGAATTTATTAGTGAAGCCACCTGGGCCTGAGATTTTCTTTATAGGAAGTTTTTAAACTACAAATTCAATTTCTCTAACAGATACAGGAATATTCAGCTTATCTAATTCCACTTGAGTGGGTTTTGGTAGATTGTATCGTTCAAATAAATTTTCCATTTTATCTTAGTTATCAAATTTGTTGGCATCTAGTTGTTTATTAAAATACTTTATTAGTCTTTTGATGCCTATGGAACCTGTAGTGATGTTTGTTCTCTTACTTATGACATTGGTAATTTGTGTTTTCTCTTTTTTACCTTATCAGTCTGGTTAGAGTGTTAGGAGTTTTATGGTTCTTTTAGAAGAAGCAGCTTTTGATACTGTCTGTTGTTTTCTGTTCCTTGATTTTCTCTTGTGATTTTTCTTGCTTTTCCTCTCAAGTTTTACTTGTGCTATAAATTTGATGATATTATTTCTTCTTACTTCAGTTTAGTTTGCTCATTTTTCTAATTTCTTAAGGTAGAAGCCTAGATGACTGATTTTCTTCCCTCCTTTTCTACCTAATATACATATTTAATGTCACAGATTTTTCTCTAAGCACTGCTTTATCTGCATTTCACAATATTTTTGTTGCATTTCTATTTTTGTGCAGCTAAAAATATTTTCTCATTTACTTTGTGATTTTGTTCTGTGACCTAGGATTTACTTAGTTATGTGTCATTTAACTTCAAGTATTCAATGATTTTCCAAGTATCATTAAAAAAATTGATTTCTAATTAAAATCAGTGTGGTTGAAGAACACACTTTGTATGTTTTCAATCTTTAAAATTTTATTGTGTCTTGTTTTATGGCACAAAATGGTCTATCTTCCTAAGCATTTCATGTGCACTTGAAAAGAATATGTATTTTGCTACTGCTTGGTAGAGTGTTCTATAAATATATACTTGATTAAATTGATTAGTAATGTTGTTCAAGTCTTCTATGGCCATACTGATAGCTTCTCAAATTTGTTTATCAGTTATTGAGAGTGGGATATTGAAATCTCTAATTATGGATTTGTCTATTTTTGCTTTTAGTTTTATCAGGTTTTGGTCATATACTTTGAATCTCTGTTATTAAGTTCAGCAATAAATATAAGTACACATATAGAATTGATAATACTTCATGATAAATTGACCCCACAATCATTAGAAATTGACCCTCTCTATCCCTGGTAGTATTCATTGTTCTGAAGTTTACATTGTCTAATATAAGTATAACTACTTCTGCTTTCTTTTGATTAATGTTTTCATGGTGTATCTTTTCTGTATCCTTTATCTTTTAATATATCTCTATCTTTATATGTCTAGTGAGTTTCTTTTAGACTATGTGGCTCTAAAGAGTTTGGCATTGTTTATTTTTTCAAGTATCTTAATGATACATGCCTTTTACTTGGGCTATTTAGAAATAATACATATTTTGTGGCCATTTTAAATTGAATTTTCTTTTCTATCTTTGGTTACTTTACAAACTCATTAAGACATAATTGAAACACAAACTGTACATATTTAATGTATACAATCTGATCAGTTTTGACTCATATACACAGTGATGAAATCATTACCACAATCACAATACTGACCATTTCCATCACTGAATGATAGTATTGTATGGGTTTAAATCGTTGGATAATTATTGATATGTGAATCTATCATCTTGCTATTTGGACTTTATTTGTTCTTTGTTTCTTTTTTCTCTTTTACTTTTTCTTATCAGATTACTTTTAAAAAATAATTATGTTTTATCCCCATGATTAGCATGTTATACTTCACTTTATTTTAATATGATTGTTATAGGGTTTACATTATGTACTTTTAGTTTATCATAGCCTATCTTAAAATAATATTATATCATTTTACATATGACATAAGACATTTGCAATCTTGTATTTCTATTTTTCTCCTCTCAGTCTTTGTGCTATTTTTATAATAAATTTCACTTCCACATTTACAAGCCCCATAATCTATGATTATTACTTTTGGTTTAAAGAGATAAAAGATGAAAAAATGTCTTTCATATTTTGTCACATACTTATCTTGCCTATAATCTTCATTTCTTTGAGTAGATGCATATTTCCATCTAGTTTTATTTTTCTTCTGCCTAAAGGACTTCCTTTAATCTTTACTGTAGTTCCTGTCTGCTGGTGATGAATTCTCTCAGCTTTACTAAATCAGAGTAAGTCTTTATTTAATCCTCATTTAAAAATAAATATATATATATATATATACTTTATGGGTATGATATTCTAGGTTGGCAGATATATGTTTTTGTACTTTAAAGATGTTTTTTATTTCCTTGTGGCTTGCATTGTTTCTTAAGAAAAGCATGCTGCATTCTTTTTTCAATTTATGCATTATGAATCTGACTTCTCTGTCTGCTTTTAAGATTTCTCCCCTAGTTTACATTAATTTTATTATCACATCCCTTTGTATAGTTTTTTAAAATTTTTCTTCTGCTTGAGTTTTCTTGAGTTTCTTAGATTTTTGGCTTATTAGTATTTATGAAATTGAAATCTTTTCATGTTATTTTAAATATTTTTTTCTGTCCCACCCGTGCCCTCCCTACCACCTTTATAAGACTTCAATTTTTCTTATGTTAGACTTGTTAATATTTTCCCACAACCCACTGATGTTCTATTGATTTTTATTTTACCATTTTCTCTGTGTGTTTCATTTTGTATAGTTTATATTGCTTTGTTTTCAAGTCCACTAATCTTTTTTCTGAAAGGCTTATTCTTTTCTGTAAGGCTCTTAATAGTCTTTGGTATAATTTTTATTTTATATATTTTATTTTTCACCTTTAGAATTTTTTTCCTTTTTTGTCTTCCATTCTCTCCCAACATGTTCATACTTTCCTCTGCCTTCTTTAACATATAGAGTATATTCATTTTAGCTATTTTAGTATTACTTTGAACTAATTCTATTATACGTATATTTTTAATATGTTTCTAATAATTGTTGTTTCTCATAGGTTATATTTTTCTGTTTGTTTGCATGCTTGGTAATTTTTGATTGGATGCTAGCACATATGAATTTTATGTTATAGTTTTCTGGATTTGGCAGGGGAGGTAGTTCTTTAAATATTTGAGATCTTGGTTCTCAGATACAATTAAATTACTTGGACTCAATTTTATCCTTTAGGATTTCTTTTCAAGCTTTGGTAGCAAGGGTTCAGACATTCTTTAGTCTAGGCTAATGTGCTTTCTTTATAAAGGCAACACCCCATGCCCATGTATTAGGATGTCTTTCTACATTGATTGGTGAGATTAGAACCTATTATCGGCTAATGTGGCCTTCCAGGATTGATCTTTCTCTTCTCTAATGGCTCCTTTTCTGGCCTCACCCTCATGTGCAGATCAGTATTCAGCCAAGAACTCAAGGGGGAATCTTTCTGTAGCTTCCCAGCTTTCTCTATTCTTTCTCTTGTAAGCAACCTCCTCTCCTCTCGGGTACTTTGCTTTTAAAATTTTAGGCACTTTGGCTTCTCAAAACTCTGAATTCTGTCCCTTAAACTCTGCAAGACTACAGTCTTTGTTTTGAATTCCTTCCCTGTGCTATGGCCTGAAAAATCTCTTCAATTAGTGAGCTCAAGAACTTATAGAGTTCAAAACATTTATTCCCATTGTCTCAGGGATTACTGACCAGTCTTTTCCATTGTCTGATGTCCACTCCATTTAATTTCCTTTGTCTGGTTTTCTAATTGTCTAAAAAAGTAGAGTAAATCCAATTACCTATCACTTTATCATGACGGGATATAACATACTTTAAGTGCCAAAATAAGTAAATAAATAAATAAATAAGGACGTAACGTAACACTCAAGGGCAGGAATACAACCAAACTTTAGGAATAAGGAGTTTATATTCATTGGCCACCCAGGCAATACTTCGTTTTCCTCTGCATCTGTTTCTAATCTCTGCATCTGTTTGTCAATATCTGTGGAATGACTTACTCTGTTTCTCCAGTCTGCATAGTTAAATGTGCCTACTCCACATCTACCAGGTTTACATATTATTGTTGCAATCACTTACAGAAACTCCTTTTTGGAGGTATCTATTTGCAAAGTTCGAGACTATCAGACAATACATTATTTTAATGACATTCTTTTAGTTATTTTTAATAATATGCTTATTGCTATTAAATCTTGAGGAAGGCCAGGCAGAATGGTTCATTCCTGTAATCTTATCACGTTGGGATGCTGAGGTGGAGAACTGATTAAGCCCCAGAGTTTGAGACCAGCCTGGGCAACAAAGCGAGACCTCATCTCTATTTGAAAAAATTTAAAAATTAGCCAAGTGTGGTGGCATGCACCCGTAGTTCCAACTACTTGGGAGGCTGAGATGGGAGGATCACTTGAGCCCAGGAGTTTGAGCTTGCATTGAGCTATGATTGCACCACTGTGCTCCAACCTGGGTGACAGAGTAAGACTTTGTCTTAAAAAATAAAATAAAATAAATAAAATAAAATAATCTTGATGAAATTAGTCCTTAGTAGGTAAGAATACCAGCTTGATTTTAGTATTTACCATGCAATATACTTAATATAAAAATGAATATAAAAATATTCCAGTATTTTCCACATTGTTATTTTATTCTTGCATAGTAGAAAGCATCATTCACTTTTAAAAACATTTTTTTATAGTTATGTTGGCCTACTCATAATATTTTTGTTTGTTCTTGAGTGATTTAAAATAACTTAGAATTCTAAACAGAATTCTAAACAGAAATATTATTATGAGTAGGCCAACATAACTATAAAAACTGTTTTTAAAAGTGATACTTTATTTTAAAATGCCTCTACAAATTATTTAAAAATTTCCTGGCATTGTATATTACTTTACATTCATCTGCACTCAATTTTATGTTTTATTCCATTGTCCACTTATATTATCTAGCATTCTTAAGGCTATTCTGGAAGCCATAATTCTTCTCAACTTCATCTCAACTAAATTGTTTGGTGCTGTCAATAATTTTTACATTTGATCAGTTGTAAATTACTACATCATTTGACACCTACTACTGACATTTTTCCACCATAAAACTAGATGATATTCCTTAATTTTTAACAAATTGAGAACTGATTTGGAAGAAAAATTGGAAGTTTATAATTTTACATCTTTTGAAGACCGTAGTATGATATAGAAGAATGATCACATCACTGGTTGAAGAGTCAGTGTAAACTTGCATCATTAGGATTTTTGAATGAAAGTGAGTGAGAGCTCATAAGTGGGAGTTGAACAATGATAACTCATGGACATGGTGGGTGGGGCATCACACACTGGGGCCTGTTGGGGGCGTGGGGGGCTAGGGGAGGGATAGCTTTAGGAGAAATATCTGATGTAGATGACGGGTTGATGGGTGCAGCAAACCACCATGGCACTTTCTGTAGTTCCTATCCAACAAACCTGCACGTTCTGCACATGTACCCCGGAACTTAAAGTATAATAAAAAATAAATAAAGGGAGTGAGAGATGTTCAAAATATTGGTTAAACAAATAAATGAATAAATATTCATTTAAAATATGCAATGTAAGCTATCCCCATTTATAAAATAACCGTGAATCACATTGAATTGGGAGGAAATAGGTGATTTGCAAATATTCTTCAATAAAATACTTAATTATATTTACTATTATACATCCTAGTTGTCGTTCCTAACTTTTCTTAGTTTGCAAAGTGAAGCTTGCTGCTGCTTGATTTTAAAAATTATTTGCAGTTGTCCTCTGAAAACACATAGTATTTATTTTATAATCAATAGATTATTTGAGTTTTAGACTTTTGAATTTTATTTTTGCTATATGCATGTATTTCTTTCTAAGACATAAAACGTAATTCTTATCAAGAGGACCTTATCAAAATGTTAAACTTTTGCTCTGTCAAAGACTCTATTAAGAAGATGAAAACACAAGCTACAAACTGAGAAAAAATATTTTCAAACTATATATTTGACAGAAAACTTGTATTAGAATCTGGAAATAAATCTCAAAACCCAGCTGTAAAAAAACAAATGATCCAATTAGAAAATGGGCAAAAACATGAATACACATTTCACTGAAAAGGATACATACAAATGGCAAAGATGCACATGAAAAGATGCTCAACATTATTAGCTTTTAGGAAAGGGCAAATTAAAACAATAAGATATCACACATCCCTAACAGAATGGCTAAAATAAAAAATAGTGATCACACCAAACCCTGGCGATTGTGCAGAGAAACTGGATTACTGTTCATTGCTGTGGAAATGTAAAATGGCACAGCTAGTCTGGTAAAAAGTGACAATTTCTTGCAAAGCTGAACATGTGCTTACCATATGATCCAGCAAACACATTTATTCCAGACACAAAAATGTATGTCCACACAAAAACCTGTATGAGAATATTCAGCATAGCTTTAACTTATCCTGAAACTGAAAGTAGCCCAAATGTCTTTCAGTGAATGAATGTTTAAACAAACTGTGGTACATCCTTTCCATGGAACACTACTATTGATACAGGCAATAACTTAGATATGGATCTCAAGGGATTTCTACTGAGTGAGGAAAGCCACTCTCAAAAGGTTATATGCTGCATGATTTCATTCATATAACATTCTTGAAATGATAACATTATAGAAATGGAGAACAGATAAATGATTTTAAAGGGATAGAGGAGTTTGGAGGGAGGTTGCTGTGGCTACAAAAAGTAGCATCAAGAATTCTCATAATGGAACTGTTCTGTATCTTGACTGTTGTGGTGGTCATGAGAACCTACACATGTGATACAATTGCCTGGAGTTACATACAAACAGAAACACAATTGAGTGCATATAATACTAGTGAGATTTGAATAATATCAGTGGGTTATATTTATGTCAGTTTCCTGGTTGTGATGCTGTGTTATAGTTACACAAGATGTTGCCATTGGAGAAAACTGAGTAAACAGATATATGGGTTCTCTCTATATTATTTCTTGCAACTGCATGTGAATCTATGATTGTCTCAAAATAAAAATTTAGAAAATGATTACTTACTGCAATTATGAATTCACCGCCGAAGTCTGTATTCATCATTTCTATAGACACTTATCTGAAGAGTGATATTAAGTGGCTGATTGGATCAGGTCTGAAAGAGTTGGAGACTCTCCTAAAAAGAGTGATTTACTGTGAATCCTGAAGGGGATACCAAGATCAGAGACTGGAGTGTCTGGTCCAATTGGGAGACATGGTCAAATGCTAGCTTTCATGTCATAGGTCCAGGGTGGGCAGAAGGGCACTGACAGAAACTTGGGTGTAGACTGGGTTTTCTGGAAGCAAACTATGAATGGAATTTGTGGTGTTTATTGGAGATCGACATTTATGAAAGAAAGGTGAAGAACTGAGCATAATAGAGCTCTGGAGAAAATATTCCTTCTTAGAGTCACCCTGAACTGTCTTCAGTGGCCTTACTCGGTTACCCAGTGACATGACCTCAGGTAAAGTATGTCTCTTTAGCTAAGGTGGATCTTGAAAAAGAGGACAGCTGAAGGCCGTCTCCTAACTGGATTCCATACAGTTGTGCAGCAAGTCCTGCCTGAAAGGAAGATCGCAGCAGTGCATCTCTGTGTTGGCATACATAGACCCAAGACAGTGACTGAGTTAGTATTGGACTCAAGCAAATAATTTAAAAAATGGAGTCTGGAGACAGAGGCTGGGGACAGGTGTGCAGGTCTCCTTAACAACACACTTGGAAGTACCTGTTAATAGGACTGCTGCTGGGAGACAATGGCGTCTCACTGCAAGTTGATGAAGATATGCAGTGAATTGGCATATGATTTGGTCTATTAGAAATTGCCCTTTAAAATTTATTTATATTCCATTTTAGATAATGTTTTTAATCACTGGATTAATGCCAGCTGCAATGATGCACAGGTTTTTATTATTAGAATGGATGTTTTGGCTTTGCAGAAGTTTCAACTTGTTCACTTTCTGATCTAAGGGGGCAGACTGCTACCTATCCGTCAGTTGCAGAAAATGTTGACTAAGTCTCACTAGCTAAACTGATTTCACCCTCCATTTGAGCAACTTGATATTTTACAGATATAGAAAACTGCTGTTTATTCTCCACTTAGACTCTCCCAATGCATTTATAAGGAGATAGTTAGAACTGGCATGTACCACAGGAAGGCTCTTCAAAGGGAACATGTTAACACATCCTTATTCCTGCTGAGTGGAACTTGAAAAAAGCTATTGTTACATTTCTTATGGAGTTCCTCAACGCCTCTTATAAATGAGCCATATTTAGTTTTAAACAAATTTCCTGAAGTAAACAGTATATTTCCCTGATTTTCATCTCTCTTGGAAAGCTTCCAAAAAACTTGGAAGTGAATTAGTGTGCAATTTGCATCCAAGTCTTAGCCAAGGGGATGTGGTTTATTATAATACATGGTCCTCCTAATTATTGAACAGCCCAAGAAAACTCAGTCCAGTGTGCATCTGCTGTTGCTTGACCACATTGCCAAACACAATTTGGCAAGCACAGAAATGTACATTGAGCAGACCTACAGTCTAATTTGCATTAGAGTTTGTGGTAATTAGATGAAAGCTATAACTGAATGAGCTTGTCCTCTCTTTTTAGATCACTTCATTTCTAAAAAATAAACAAGAAGCAAACCTCCCAAAGAATTTCCCTTTTTATGTGTCCTTGAGGTTTCTCAATGTGATTTAATTATTGCCCAACTGTTAGTTCTGCTTATATGTGAAGAGAAAACTTCTTTCCCACATATTTCATGTGGACTTTCTTTTATAATTCTTGATATCTATGGGTTGATTGTGCATGTTTCAATACATAGTTGATATCATTGTTCAAAAGAGTGAATATGAATACTGCTGATTAGATGTCTGCATTCTTTGGGAATTTGCATCCAAGAATAAAAAAATAGGTCCATCCACATTTTTTTCTTTTATTTTTAACTTTTATTTTAAGTTCAGGGGTACATGTGCAGGTTTGTTATATAGGTAAACTTGTGTCATGGAAGTTTTTTTGTGAAGATTATTTCATCACCCAGGTATTAAGCCTAGTATTTCTTAGTTTTTTTTCCTGATCTTTTCCCTCCTCTTACCCTCCACCCTCCAATAGGCCCCAGTGTGTGTTATTCCCCTCTATGTGTCCATGTGTTCTCATCATTTAGCTCTCACTTATAAGTGAGAACATGGTTTTCTGTTCCTTGTTACTTTGCTAAGGATAATGGCCTCCAGCTCCATCCATGTCCTTGCAAAGGACATGAACTTGTTCTTTTTTTATGGTTGCATACTATTCCATGGTGTATATATACACCACATTTTCTTTATCTAGTCTATCATTGATAGGCATTTAGCTTGTTTCCATGTATTTGCTATTGTGAATAGTGCTTCAATGAACATACACATGCATGTGTCTTTATTATGCCCAGAAATGGGATTTCAGGGTTGAGTGGTATTTCTGTCCTTAAGTCTTTGAGGACTGTCTTCCACAATAGCTGAAATGATTTATATTCCTACCAACAGTGTATAAGCGTTCCTTTTTCTCCACAACCTTGCCAGCATCTGTTATTTTTTGACTTTTTAATAGTAGCCATTCTGACTGGTGTGAGATGGTATCTCATTGTGGTTTTGATTTGCATTTCTCTAATGATCAGTGATGTTGAGCTTTTTTTTTCATATGATTGTTGGCTGCATGTATGGCAGAGTCTTGCTCTGTCACCCAGATTGATGTGCAGTGGTGTGATCACAGCTCACTGCCACCTTGACCTCCTGGGCTAAAGTGATCCTCCCACCTCCACCTCCACCTCCCAAGTAGCTGGGACCACAGGCATGCACCACCGTGTCCAGCTAGTTAAAAAAAAATTTTTTAGAGACAGGGTCTCACTATGTTGCGCTGGAACAGAATTCCAGTCTGTCCTGGAATTCCTGAGCTTAAGGAGTCTTCCTGCCTTGGCCTCCCAAAATGCTGGGATTACAGACATGAGGCACCACACCCAGCCCGTCCTCTGATTGATTTAAAGGATAATAAGAAAGCACAGAAAGAGCCATAAAGAAATCACAAAGTTCCCATTGAATAAACCACCTTGAATAAACCGCTGAATTTTTCTGAGTCTCGATTTTCTTATTTATAAAATGGGGAAATTGATGCCTCCTTTATCTACCTCATATAGTTGATGTAAGAGCCAACTGGAAAAAAACAGGATTTAAAACTGTTTGCAGAAAACATATAGATGGCAAAGTTGTTTTAAAATGATAAGTTTATTAGGTACATACCAATACATACACAGAGAGTCTAGTGAATAATTTTGTGGTATACTGCACAAACTACCCTCAGAGACCACCAGGGAATCTGATGCTCCAGCCATGGTAGGCGCTCTGGGAGTTGAGGGTGATCATGGTCCAAGGGCTATTGAGCTACACTGTCCAATATGGTAGCCACTAGCCACATGTAGCTGTGGGACACTTGAAATGTAGCTTGTCCAAGATGAGACATGCTGTAAGTGTTCAATATATAGCAAATTTCAGACTTAGTGTAAAAAAGAATGTAAAATATCTCATTAAGATTTTTATAATGATTGTTTTCAGTATATTGAGTTAAAGACAATATATCACAAATTTTATTGTCTCTGTTTCTTTTCATTTTTTGAGTGTGGCCACTATGAAATTACATATGTGGCTCACATTTTATTTCTATTAGACAGTACTACTTGAAAGCATGAAGCTATGGGATTGCTAATTATATTTAGGGCTGAAGCCAGAGTTAGGAACTAAGCAGAACATTGACACATAAAGTGGGTACAAAGCAACAGGGTACTGACTGGGACACCAAGCTAGAGCTAGTGGTTTTTGAAGGGTGGGTAGGAAATGGAGCTTAGAGATATTTTCTGGAACATGTATTAGAACTGTGGTTATAGAAAGCCCTTGGCTTTGTTTGTGGGTAGAAAGGGAGCTGTTAAGGGCGCCAGCCAGTTCAGACATACCAGTATTATTCTTCAAAAACAATTATGTTTAATAAAATCACAATAGTCTAGAGCCCACAGGGAATGCGTACTTTTTTGTGTGTTCGGGTATTCTGGTTATTTTAGTGTTTATCCTTTAAATATGAAAACTAAGATGATATTTGAAGCATTTCATGTGGGAATTTTTTTAATATTAGAAACTTGTTTTACCTTCTTATACAGAATAAGAATATACTCAACAAAATTTTTGTGGCATCCTATTTACACAAGGTAATCATTGTGGATGTAAATTATAGTTTTCCGTAATATATTAATGATCCACGTAATATTGTGTGGTTTGATTTGTGAGTGGCTGCTTGCTCCAATGCTGAATGGCCCCAGGTGGGAGTATAGTTAGAGTTTTGTCTGTTTTTACATCTCTCCACGTTTCCTCTTGCTATCAGACCACCAACCAGCACATTGTAGTGCTCTCAGTGCACCCACAAATAACAAATAACTAATTAATTTGTTGCATCTAATCTGCTGTGGGACTGGAAATTGTAAAAACAGATTCTTTTGGACTAGAGAAAAATCAAGTATAAATATGTTCTGAGAGTTCAACCCCTATGCATAAGTTATGATGATGAATTTTGTGACATTTTCTTTAATCACAGCCATTTTTTTGTTGCTGTTTCAATGTTATGAGCTATGATCTACTTGTGCTTGCCAGAGAACCAAAGTTTCAAATATATGAGACTTCAATGTGATAAATGTCCTGTGACCGAGTCAGAAATGACGAACCTGCTCTAGCTTGCCAAATAATAGAAATACATCCCTTTGGTTTGGGAAGGAACATAAGGCTTTTTTTTTCTTTTAGCTAATTGAGATCCAACAGTAAACTATCTCTTTTAGAGTGCCAAACTCTTGTATCAGTTTAAAATCAGGTGTCTTCTGTTATTTCACATGCCATTTCTCAACATGGCATTGTGTGCAAAGTAATTGAGAGGGAGATGGGGAAAGAAATAGTGGCAAAAGAGCTCTGCCAAGTGCTTAGTAATGTCACATTATAAACTTATTTAGACAGTAGCTTCTGTTCAGCATAGTCATGTGAACTACTTGAAAGGCCCCAATTAATTATGTATTGGTAAATTTAAAAGTAGAATGTGAGATTTCTGGTGAGGTTCGTGCACATCAATGAATGTTTTTTATATATATCATTATGTTTTTTATCATTAATTTTATGTTTAGTGAGCATAAAGGTATTTTATCTAAACTTTATCATTACCAAAAAATACAACAAGTTCCACTAATCCATATAAATGGAAATGTGTGCAAAGAATGTATCAATGGTCTACTTTCTCTCTGTAAAACTTCAGGTTGTGGAGCTGCACATGCCACAGATTTGCAATCACTAATTGTTGGATCTGAAAGGGCAGCCAGTTTGTTGCCTCTGGGAGATGTCCATTATAGCTCAACTACACAAGGCTATTATCCATGTGAGGTAACAGTATAGACATAATCCCAAGAGGATGTGCCGCTGGGGTTAAGGGCATGAGAGACTGGAGCTAATCTTGGCGTGGCCCCGTAATAGCTATATGATTCATCTCTTCTGTTCTACACCCCTTCCTACTTAACTCCCGCATAGAGATGGTATTAATACCTACTTCTTGGCACCTGGTTAGAGTAACTACTGTCATTGTGTTTAGGCTCAGTAGAGGGCTTCTAAACAAAATTGAGGAAATGAATATATATATTTCTCTATAGTTTTTGCTTCTGTCACAGAGCAGCATATTTGTAATATTTGCTATTAAGTTTTGGAATGATTCAACCAATGATGGGGTGACCAACTTTACAGAAAGACATGCCATGGCCTGTGAAGAAAGGCAGTGACAACATACGTAATGAGAAACCCACAAAGAGGTGATGTGATAACATTTTACACCAAAAAACAGGCTATGATAAGGCCAATATGGAAAACCACATATTCATGTGCCAACAAATACACATGTAGGTAGAAGAATATGATGTATGTGGAAACAATCCAACACTTTTTAGCCAGGCGTGGCAGTGTGTGCCTATAGTTCCAGCTACTGGGGAGGCTGAGGCAGGAGAATCCCTTGAAGTAGGGAAGCAGAGGTTGCAGTGAGCTGAGATCGCACCACTGCACTCCAGCCCGGGCAACAGAACACGAATGTATTTCAAAAAAAAAAAAAAAGATACAATCCAGAATTTTTTAAAGGAATGTCATTTGATTCGATGAGGAGAGATGATCAGAAACTTTCTTCCACCATTCTTCATCTTTCCCTAATGTTACCATCAACACTAAATAAACAGGGGTTCCAAAATTGAAAAGGAAAATTTTCACTACAAATTCAGTGGAACAGTTATTGAATTTTAAAAAATACATTATTAGGATTATTTCTGAAATTAAAACTTATCGTTGTTGGCATTATTAGTTTAATATGTGCTGTGTGGCTTCTACCAATTTTTTTTGGTTTAATCTTTATAGTTTCTCTGTTATTTTTAATTATTTATTTATTTTTTATTTTTTTTGAGACAGAGTCTTGCTCTGTCTCCCAGGCTGGAGTTCAGTGGCTCAATCTCTGCTTACTGCAACCTCTGCCTCTTGGGTTCAAGTGATTCTCCTGCCTCAGCCTCCTGAGTAGCTGGGGTTATAGGCACCCGCCATCATGCCTGCCTAATTTTTGTATTTTTTTGTAGAGATGGTGTCTCTAGCAAATTTGTAAAGTGTTAGCATTCTTTGAGGATGTGTGCTATGCTCAGGGAGGCACATTTTGTGTGGGTCTAGGGGAAAAAAATTCTGGTAAAACTGGTCTTGAACTCCTGACCTCGGGTGATCCACCCACCTCGGCCTCCCAAAGTGCTAGGATTACAGGCTTGAGCCACCACACCCGGCTCATGCCTGTAATTTTTCTACCTTGTAATCAAAACATTATTATTGTTTTATAAGCTAATATTCATTTAGATTCACCCTTTCCATTGCTCATAGTTCCTCTTTTATTATCCCCATTTTACAGATGCAGAAATTAAGATACAGAAGGGATAATTAAATTGTTTAAGGTTTTCTAGCTAGTAAGAGGCAGAAACAATACTTCAACCCAGGCTTGTTACTATTAATTATTAATCCAAAGAGGGCAGAATTATTCTGACAGCTACGTTAGCTTAAAAAATTAGCGGGAATCAGTTTATATGACAAAGACTCAGAAGTGATAATCATGTTAATTGCTCTGCTTTATAGAACACATAGACTGTCTTAATCAACTTAACCCAAGTTATGCTTAAAATGTTTCTCAAAGCCATGAAATACCTACATATAGAAGAATATAAATCATTTTTATATGGTTATTGCTATTCATAGAAATTATATCCCAAAATAAACATGGGGCCCAAATCTTACCTAGAGAGCCAGGGTACTTCCTGAAGAATCTTTGTCTTTTGGATGAATTCTCTATGGGGTCCACACAAGCCAGGTCTTTCTCTTAGATTGAATATAACTATCATTCATACATCTTCCCTCACATGCACATCCTAATCGTCCCATCAAGTTACCAAATTGTTTCACATTATCTAAGAAAATCACTTATGTGAAGTCATTTTGAAAACGAGCACTATACAATTAGTTAGAAGTTATTATTTTGAACCCCTATTTTCCTTGGCCACATGATCCATATGCGAAGGTGGCTGAGTTTTAATTTAAGGTTTTCATACTTGTTCACTTAGACTCTCTGAGTCTCCGGCTCCATCAGATCCCTATTAAGAAATGTTTATCTTTCTGTTCAGTGAGGCATATAGTTATGCAACCAGATGGCATGCGCTCAGATGGTGGTGAGAGGGCCTGAGATCTCAAGGGAGCAAGAGGGATTCTTGCCTAATACTCTGCACATTTTGATAAAGCTTTGTAAGTGTAAGGAATAAGGTCTTATTTAACTATGTATCCCCAGCATCAAGCCAATGTGGGCACAGTAAATGTCTGTAGAATTGAATTCCTTATGTTGATTCCATTGGTGTGGTGGTGACAAGAAGGAAGAGAAGCTGAGCGTCAAACATTGTGTCTCAGCCTGGCCGTGGCCCTAGCTTTAATTCTTATATACTGCACAGGGTACAGGCTAAGGGATTCTGGTTTTGCTCAGAATAAGGTGTTTATGCTCCAAAAGGGTGCTATAAAATATCTGTAACTCACTATCTGAATGCAAGTAACTTGGGTCAGAGGTCTTGGTAAACTCTTCCAATTGTTTTTTACATGTAATTATTCAACTTTCTCCCACCCATGACCCTCAGCATCATATGGGGCAAAGGAACATCAAGCCATATTGAGTCCCAAAGAATATCAAGTAAGCATCTTACGGCTGTACAAGATAAATGTGAATAATAAAATCTCAATTTGTGCTATTATTTTTCCTTTCAACAATAATTCTTTTCATTTTATCTTTTTGAATTTATATTAAAGATGTATAAGTTTAAATTCATAGGAGTTCTGGTTATTCATGATATATTAATATGCTCCCTGCAACACCATTTTGGTATTTTCTCCTTGTCTTATATATGCACTATTTTATACTGCTATAAAATTCACACTGGAGAGACACTGTGAAGTCTAAATTACTTAAGGTCAAATTCTATTCTTAGCCCTATGAGTGTTTAGAAAATTGAGATAAAAGAGGCAGAAATTTTTGACTTGAGATCACTCATCAATACTCTGCAATGAAATCAGCTTTCCTTTGTGAAGTCCAAAAGTAAACACTAATGTCTGAATCATATACAGAATCTAATATCAGAGTAATAGTTAGGCTGGGCTTGAGGCTTGAGGATAGGGAGAAAGAAAACTCTTATTTTTACACAGACTGTAACACTCTAGCATTTCACATATTTCTAGGAAGACTTATTTAATCCACCTTGTCATGTGCTGACATTTAATAAACACCTCATTCCTCTATAGGTATTTTAAACAATGAGCTGCAGAATACCAAATCCCTGGCCAGTTAACAGTATTGAAATGACCAAACATTTATATAGCTTCTTTTTTGAAAAATAAGGTTAATGGAAATAATTTCTATTTTAATATGACTTTCTTCATGCTGTGAACTGTATACATATGCATACCTGCAATGTATATTACTGGCTGTGAAGGGACCATCCTTATTTGTGATGGTTATGATGCTTTTACAATATCATGCATATGGTTCCATTTGAAAGACATGTAATTCATTACCTTCTTCTGTTGGTTAATAGCTTTATGAGAATGTTTTCCCCTAGACCCACACAAAATGTGCCTCCCTGAGCATAGCACACATCCTCAAAGAATGCTAACACTTTACAAATTTGCTAGCTAATGTGTAATCTGCAGAGGATATCTGCCTTATCTGACAAACATCATCTCAGCTCAGGAAGCCATGTACAATCCGTCTATCAGATCTGACATTGGTGGTATCTACGCAGCCCTTCCCAGCACACACCCTGCCTTTAAAGGTCTTCCCATCCCTGTTATTGGTCTCACAGATGATAGAGTATGACACTCCATAAACAATGAGCTAGGCCTTTTGTAGGCTGCTTTGCTTTTCTTGGCTTCAAACTGCCACTGAATGTCAAATCAATTTGGCTCTCATTAGAACAGCTTTATATGTGCAAATGTATTTGGGTCTGGTTGCCACTTTTTCCCCTATTTTTTTCTCCTTTCCATTCCTCCTCTTCTCTTTGAGATGATGTAATTTTTCTCTAATCCATGCCAACACCTGTTTCTTTAAAAGAGAGAGAGAGGAGAGAAAAAAGAAGAGAGGAGAGTGAGAGAAAATGCTCGAGTGTGTGGCTCTTTATCACAATCAGCATGAACACCAGTCTGGCACATTATGGCTCAAGTTTCCCCAGAACAAAGAGAAAATGCCTCGTTGCCATGATATTGTACATCACAGAGCCCAGATAAAGTCGAGAGAGTCTTTGTAAACCTTGGTTCCTGATGTCTGGAGAAACGGCTGTCGAGATAGAGCAAGGTGTGTAAGCTGGTTTTATTGATAAGTGATGAAGCTAGCAATAAATCTGGTGCAGTGCTTAAGGAAGTCTGAGCCACAGACCATGTTTGATGGGAGACTGTTTTCCTCTTGAGTTGGGAGAAATAAAGCGCTACACCTAAGAGAATAGCACAGACTTAAAGAGGCAGCAGGAAACTCAATAATGAACAGACAGATGAAAAAACAAAGTAGAGTCTGGATGGCCTTTTTATGTTGATCTCTATATACTTTTCAGTTTATGTGAGAGATTTTCCCCCTGATACATGAACTTTGAGGTTTCTAATTCAAATAAGTCAATTTATTATAAAATAAAATGCATATGATATCTAACGGCCTTTTGAAGACGTGTGCAGCTGGATCTTTGACTATTCTTGTTGGATTTTTTCATGCAAAAGAAATATGAAGTCATGTGGATAGAATCTAAATTCATAAACCAGATAATTATAATTCTTATTATTGTTTTGTGCTCCTCCTCCTGAGAAATTCAGATGTTTGAGAGCACACAAATATATATGTGTTTACATGTGTAGCTATTCATTTATGGAGTACCTATTATTTACATTGTTTTATATGCTTCAGATATGTTCACGTGCAAAATTTAAAACAATTCCTGCCCTTGCGCAACTTACTTCCAGTGCAGGATACAGATAATGAATAGTGAGCCTAAGAGATAATTAAAATATAAAGTATGTTAGAAATTGATAAATATTACCAAAAAAAGCCTAACAGGGTAAAGGAGATTAAGAACTCTTGCTTATGTTTGGTTACAATTTTAAATGGGAGGATGAGGGCAGATATCACTGAGGAGGTGACTTTCAAAGAAAGACTTGAAGGAGAAAAGGGAGTGAGCTATCTGTGTAGTTGGTGAAGAATGCAGCATGTAGGAGGAAGAGTCAATGCAAAGGCCCTGATGTGGGAGCAAGACTGAAACTCATGGAAGGAAGCGTGGCCAGAGAACCATGAGCCAGGGAGAAAATAGTAGGAGGGACCATCAGAAAAGTAATGGAGGAGGGCCCAGATACTACAATGCCTTATAGGCCGTTGGAAAGCCAAAGCTTTTTTGCTTTGAAGAAAATGGTGATTTATTGGAAGGTTTTGAGCAGAAGAATTACATGATGTTTGTGTCATGCATTTGTTTCTATGAAAGATTGTAATCAGTTTAGGGTTTACAGAATTTTTTAGGAAGTCTGATTTATAGAGTTAGATTGGGACACTTTCAGACTTTTTATGAACTTCTGCGAAGGACTGGGAATAAGGATGAAAACCAAACCTGTATCAGAAGAGCTCTTTTAGGATGTCAGAGCCAAAAACCTTGCTGGGTAAGCTACTAGAGAAGTAACTGAGAGTTTAGAAGTAATGACTTGTTTGTGATCTTAGAAATAGGAGCATACGGCTGGTGTAGACTCAAGGAAATTAAAGTAAAATTAGTCTGCCTGTGCAATAGACATTGTAGCCAGATAGATTTAGGATTATATTCCAGCTATGTCACAATCTGTATAGGGTTAGGCTAGCTAATTAATATTTCTGAGTCTTTGTTCCCTCATTTTGAAATGGGAATAATGATAACAGTTCCCTTGCACAGTTGTTTTGAGGGTTAAGTTATATAGTTCATGTGCGGTTGTCATGAAGTGTATGATAAACACATTGCAATTTTCTTCCTCTGTATCCTCCATAAAGTTCATGCACAACAAATATTTTTAAATTATTTGCAAGATATTAATAACCAATTTGAACATGGAGGAGAAAAGTACAATGAAAGAAAAGATACCTAATTAAATCTGGCTCCAATAGTTGCCTAGGCTGACGCTGCATAAAGATGAACTTACCTATACATTTCTAGGCATTCCAAACTCTCAAAGTCACAATGCAAATCAAGGATATTAGGGTTCCATAAACAAGGGGGTGTTCTTTTGGTGTACATCTATCTAGCCAGTTCACAGACTGCTACAGATTCAACTTAGCAAATATTTGTTAAATATGGCTGTGTGGGCCCTGAAGTAGCATAAAACATTATCCCTGCCTTTCAGAAACTTGGTTTGTTGGAGGAGTTCCCAATCAGATATGATATCTGATTATTTTTCCTCATAAAGTTCCAACTCATTTTTTTGTATTCTGATTAAAATATTATTGTCTACCCCTTCTAGAAATACTCCTTTTGTTCACTTGATTGGTTGATAGGTAGTCACTGTTTTGTAAACGAACAGTTATGAAGGGATGGGAATAAGCATTTTTGTTGCTATCTCATTGCACAATTGCAGAATTCATCATTCTCCAAAACATTATTTATTCAAGGCTAGTGTAGTTATACTCAAGGGGAGGTGTTTGAATGTTAGGGGAAAGGGTTAAGAGAATTATTCTGTCACTGACAATAAAGAAGAAAACACTTTAAATTCACTATTTTTTTTTTTTTGGCAGATACAAGCTAAAACCCTTCTAGAATTGCATTAATAAAACTGAAAAGGAAAAATGAAATAAAACTTTTAAGCCCTGAAGAATCTTAAAAATAGTCTTTAAAGGATAGAAAAAAAGAACAGAAAAATTCCTTTAAATTCCTGGGTCCTACAAATGAGATTTTAGTAGTGGCAAGTAAAACATATTGATTGGCACCAAAGTATAAGATCTTTGTCACCATCTGTTTCCTGATTGTGTCAGCAAGTATTTTTTCCCCACGAGAGTGTGAGAATACACCATAGCCTAAAAGTATCAAAGTGTCAATTATGCACCACATTTAAAAGTTGGAAGCCCAGTTCATGAAAGTCAGTGACAAAAGTCCTGATTCCTGTTTCTTACTGAAGTGAAATCCTTGCACTTCATTCGTTTTGTGAACTACAAAAAGAATGGTGGCTCCATGGGTTAGTGGGGCGGGGAGCTGTGGCAAAAGAGGGAGAAAAGTAATCTTAAATGAATATTTATCAAAAGTGCCCCCCCCCATGTAAGTCACTTTGCTACAAAATGAAGTTATTATGAATAGTATATGCAAATAACGATTTTAACAAGTATGGGGTGACAGGGAGGAGAAAGGGAAAAGAAGGGAAAGAGGATACAGAAAAAGAGAAGTAAAAAAAGAAGGAGGATGGATTAACAGGGAAGCATTTGGGAGTCTGGGCTGGAAAATTGAAAACAGGAGACACTGGTAGGACTGTTGAAACATGAGGCCATGAACAATGGAAGCTGGAAAGGCTGCATTTTCAGAATGAAATCAAGATTATTCTCATCCCTCTTCCCTTTTATCTAGCCATTTTTTTTGTTGTTTACATTTAACTTGAGATATCCTTTTTCTATTTTTCTCTCTGTTTTGATCACTGCTATTGTTAAAGATGGCTAGTGATTAACTACCCTGATTTTCTTTGAGTTCCTGTGCATGTCACTCTGGGTTCTGCTTAGAGAGAAGCACCCTCTTCCTCTTTAGCTGCACCAATTATTTTTTGATGTGTTGCCTTTCTAGCCGAGTTGGTGGAGCTGCCAGTTTTGACACATTCTCTTGCCTAAGAGGGTTGCAATAATGTGTTGAGGTCATTCTTGTGCTGTTGGAGGAATGACCTATGCTCAGGCCAGGTAGTCACAGATGCCGTCTGTCTGCTCGAGTTTCATTCTTTTGTAGTAAGCCTTGGGAAGTTGTTCCTCTGGGTTGACATGAATCCTTTCTTTATTTTGGAAATGAGAGACTCAGGTTCCTATAGCACACTCAGTGTCTAATGTTAAGAGTCAATATCAAAAATACAAAGACTTGTGTTCTAACCAAGGGTGTATGGATTATAGAGACATACGCCTGGCTAGAACAATAGAAAACTTGTAACAAACAGAAAAAAAGCATGCCACATTGCCTTCCTTTACTCATCTAGGTTAACCTATTAAGTGGCAGGAAATCCCTACCTGGTGGAAGGACCAGTTCTGCACATCAGGCAGCCAGGCTCTCAACAAAAACCTTCCAGCCTGGAACTTCACGTGCACCAAGAGAGTAAATAGCCACGTCCTTTGTTCAAGTTTGATTAAATAGAATAGTAGAGGCTGTCAGGTGAGTCTCTTGGCACATTCTCAAATCACATATAACCATAATTAAAGTTAAATCTGTGTGAGTCTGGAAGCCTGGGACATTGTAGGTTTGATCTGAGTTTGAATACACTGTATGAGAGGAGGAGAAAGTAAAGTGTGCTTAGTCTTTTGTCAGAGAAATATCAGATAAAGTGTCAGAACCATTAGAAAACATGACCACTCATTCATTCATATATTCAACATATTTAAATTGAGCACCTACTAT
Organism: Homo sapiens; assembly: GCF_000001405.40. Lineage (NCBI taxonomy): Eukaryota > Metazoa > Chordata > Mammalia > Primates > Hominidae > Homo > Homo sapiens. The sequence continues at coordinate 35,631,519 of NC_000015.10, forward strand.
TTGGAAGATGCTATAAAATTCACTAAATGCATAGTATTAAATAGGTCATTTGAGAACTTACATGTCACTGAGGGAGAGAAATAAGATAGAAATTAATAAAAAACAACATCATATTATAATAATGCTATGAAGGGAAAAAAAGCAGGAAGCCTTGATAGAGTGAGAAGTAGGGTCAGTGATGTAAAGGGGTAAAGGTAAATATACCTCAACTGATAAACTGAGACATGAAAGATATGATATTTCTATTATTTTTTTCCAATATTTTTAATGGTAAGCTATTGCTTTCCCAATACCCTGCATAGATTGGGAATCCATGAACTGACAATACCCTACCTTCCCATTTTAATCTTTCACTACTTGTACATATATTGTACTTGGAATGAGCGGAACTACTCATTGTTTCCTACACACACCTTGTGCTTTCCTGACTTAGTGTCTTCACTCATCCTTTCCTCTGCCTGGAACTTCTTTTGGACTTTCGGATGTTGCATTCCTGCTACACTTTAAGGTCCTGCTCCACTGTCAGCTCCTTTAGTCCTTCTATCCTGGTCCTCTGAGCTCCTTCTTTGTGCCTCTCACGTTTACAACTTTTTTATTACTCCTATTTTACACATTCTAATACGTGTGTGTGTGTATTTAATTTTCAGCTCCTATTTCTCTTTGTAATCTAAGAATTCCAAAGATGCAGGGGCATGCATAATGTAAAATTGCTGCTGTCTATAAATATTCTTTGAATAAAAATAAATCACATCCAATCAGCAGGAAGCCTGGAAAGTTGAAATCACAAAGAATTTGTGTATGAGACGCAGACACTGTGTTAAATTATTTTGCTCCAAACAAATACTCTGATAAATTAGACACAAGGAATTTATTTTGAAGGTTACTTCAGGAAGCATTGTGAGGGAGTGAGGAAGTGAGGGATGGAAGGGAAAGCCAGTGAATCATATATTAATGTGTGGGTTTCCTCTGTGGGCAATGGAGGCTCAGTCTTGTCATGGCACCTCTGGGAGACTGTATAAAATATGCTTCAGAATTTTCCCTCTAAAGGGTAAGGAATCATCCCTCGTTAGTTGGAGATCCCTCTTGGGATGCTGAGCAATATGTTTACTCTAATTTTGTCTCTTCGATATTGTTTCTCTTCCATTGCTATTGTGCTAATTCTCCAACAGGGAGGCTAGGGAGGTGCTACCTGGCAATTTAGGGGTGTACTTTGCCATGAGCAGTGGGGCATTAAGAATAATCTCAAAGTTGTGCAAAGCCTGGTACTCTCTGGCTTAGCTTTTTTGCTTTATGACAATTCTCTAATAGGGTTATATAGCCTGCCAATGGTAACAGAGCCAGCTTTAATACCTAATGGGTAGTTAAGAAAACTACCAAGAGTAAACTCCTGGAGGTAGTTAAATAAACCTTCCTCAACTTCCTCAGAGCTTTTTGAGAAAATGGTTTTGGGACAGTGCCCATATGAATGCGGAAATACTGCTTGAGGTAGAGGTGAGAGTTAGTATTGATATGCTGGGCCTTTGAGTGGCTCCTTGACATGATGGTTGTCAAGCCCAAAGCCTTGAAACGAGGCATTCTACAGGCAAAAAAGCTCTCCTCTGATTGAACCCAGTGTCTGTAAAAGAGACTATATTCAGGCCTTTTTTTGTTCCTGGGAAGGAAGCATTTGAACCTTGAATAGCAAGCCTGGATGAGATGCTTCAAGAGGGGCAAGTGCCCATCACATAATATCTGAGGTGTCCCACAGAGAGCCTGGGGCCATTGCTTGATCCGGCCTTCCTCAAGGAGGAGAACTTCAAGGTTCTGAAGAGATCACTGGGAGCTTCGAGAGTGGCAAGGCTATCATGGTGCTGATTACATTTCAATAAGAAAATCTCCAACTGTGAGTGGCAATAAAAGAAATGGTTGCAGATAACCTTAGCAAAGGGGACTGCCTCTAGTTTTAAAATATATTGATCATGCCTTGGGTTAGAAAAGTTCTGCCTAACAAAAAGTTGTGGAAGTTCTAGCTGCCTGCAAAGAAGGCAATGTCCCTGAGGTGGTAACTTTTGATTGAAGAAGATTATAGGAGACTTGTAAAAGACTGAAGACTGAAGACTGAATGTTTTTGGTAAAGCTCACCCCAGGTCAGGCACTTAACCATTAATCTAACATCAGAGGGGGAATTACAGATAACATATTCCTCTCATCCCCCACCAGACCCCAAACTGCAGAAGGAGAAAAATTTGTAATTCAGAGACATGACCATGTTGTCAAAAAGTACATGAAGTCAGCTGCATAAATTGTGAAACAAGTCACTGTTTTATTTGTTCTGTGGCAGTATAAAAATATAATTGCTTCTATCAAGATAAGAAATAAAGTCACAGGCCAGGTGTGGTGGCTCATGCCTGTAATCCTGGCGCTTTGGGAGGCCAATGCAAGTGGATTGCTTGGGCTCAGGAGTTTGAGAACAGCCTGGGCAATATGGCAAAACTCCGTCTCTACAAAAAATAGAAAAAATTAGCCAGGCGTGGTGGCATGTGCCTATAGTCCTAGCTATTTTGGGGGCTGAGGTGGGAGGATCTCTTGAGCACAGGAGGTTGGAGGCTGCAGTGAACCAAAATTGGGACTGCACTCCAGCCTGTGTGACAAAGTGAGACCCTGTCTCAAAACAGAAACAAAAACAAACAAACAAGAACCCCCCCTACCACCCAACCCCAAAACACAGATAGGCTATAGAATCTTGGTGAAATCAGACTCTACCAATTATTAATGACCTAGGGTTAAGAGGAAGAATTGTGACCTGAGATGCCTCCTAAGTTCTATCACCTTCAGAGTTGATACTGGGTGCCTTTCTCTTAACTTTTAGCTTTCTTTTTACAGTCATGGTCACTCATAGCTACAATCTATGAGAGGATATTTTGGGAGGATTGCTTTTGCCTATTTGCTAAATTGGCCGAGTGGCACTTATTGTAAAACTCTAATTTACTTCATGCTTTTTTTTTCACAGTTATGGCCTATATACATGTGCCCACACCCTCATTGTGGAGCCATACAGAACCCAGAAGATAAGTCCGACATTTAAAAACTTTATCCACAGACCAGCTCTAGTCTTTAACGAGCCTCCTTTATTATTCCAAAGTTTTCAAAATGAAAAAAAGAGATGAAAACATTATCCAGAGCCCTAACTCCTTTTAAAATTTTATTTTTCAAATGATCACACAGTAAAGTTGACTTTTTAGATGTAAAGTTCTATGAATTTTAACACATGAATAGATTTGTGTAATGACCTCCACAATCAGGATTCAGAACAGTTCTATCACCCCTAAAAGCCCCTTGTGCTATCCCTTCATAGTCATAGTCTCCCCCCAACCCTTGGCAGCCACTGATCTGTTCTTTATCACTGTAGCTTTGTTTTTGTGAAACTATCATATGAATGGGATCATGCAATGTGTTATATTTTGAGACTGATGATCTAGATAAACTAGATAATAAAAGGTAATGATTGTGTGGCATAGAAAAGTGGTAGAAACGTTTAATGAGGCCATATCATTGTTGGACTAGGATTTATCAAGACATGCTTCATGGAAGAGGTCAACTGTGGAGGATGGGTCTCAGAGAAGTCCATAATTTGTATTAATGGCAAAAACAGGGATAATATTTCAGGAGCAGAGAATGATAATAACATGTAATTAAGGAAATGAGAACAATGTGATTAGAAGAAATGAATCCAGGCATATGTGTTATCTCTTAAAAATGGAGAACAACATGAACAAAGCAGTGGTTTTTGAAGATTAATAGGCAGAGATGTACAAGATTTGTTAACTGCCATATAATATTTGGAAGATAAAGATGGTGATTGCACCCTCAAGAGTAGATAAATTTTTTGAAGGAGAAAAGACAGAGGGCAGTTAGAGTAGGGTCAAAAACTAAAGCATGAATGACAGCAGGTGGGTAGGAGGGAAAAAGACCTCTAGAAGATTTAAATAAGGAAGAGAGGAAACAATTGTAGAGGTTAGATAAGAACCAGTTCTTAAAAGGGAGGCAGGAGATCAAAACATTTAATGTCATCCAGAGTGGAAAAGAATGTGATGCAGAAGAAACAACTGGTAAGTTTGGAGATATTTGATTGCAGTGTAATTATGGGGATAAAGGCCAGATTGCAAATGGGTTAAAAGTTATACTGAAGATGAAGGTGAAATCAAAGCAGACTTGGTTGTAAATTGGCTCCAAACATAGAAGGAATTGCAGGATGAAGTGAGTGGGTTCACAAGCTGACAGATAAACATAAGCATTGAAGGTAGAGATGAGCTGTAGTAACTAAAAACAATGGAAACAAGAAATTTCCCATATGATCCAGAGTTTATGAGGAGGTACTTTAGTCAAATTAGCCTTTGTGCATATTCTATCTGGTCAGGATCAAGAGTTAAATAAACTTCCAATAGTTTCTATCTGTATTTCTCGTCACCACAAAAAGCTGTCCTATTATAATTGTTCTCTATTACTTAAGTTTTTCAGTTGTCACAAAATAGACTCTAACCTACCACAAGCTGTTATTGACTTAAAAAAAGATTCCACTAATTCTACTAATTCTTAGAGACTAAATTAATGTTGTAGTAAACGGATAGCAACTATTTACAAATGTAAATGCTTTAAAGTTTATAAAGTACTTTCATAAACATTTTAATTTCACCTACTAGTAATATTTACAGTGATAGTAGAAACTATGGTGTAGCAGTATGGGAAGATTTTTCTCAACCTCATTACAAAGACACCACATTTCTCTCCTGGAACTCAACCATGTCAATCACACAGTAGTATCCCAAAGCATTTGCCTCCAATTTTCTTGAATCGAAGAATCTCTCATAGTTGTTAGTATCTAGCAAGCTGAAATTTTAAACAAGGCTTTGCTTGCAACCAAAATTGATTTCTGTAATTCTCTCCAGCATGGCTTTTCTGACAAGGCTATTTCTAGATTACCCAGTGTTTGGGCTCAGCTTGTGTTGCTTATGCAACTTTAATTCTTGCCTCTAAGCTGCAACCTGGTCCCTCTGCCAATCACTGCTGGAAGCATCCTCCCATGTTATGGACCTTTTCATCAAATGGGCTCTACCAATCACTACTATCGACCCTCTACTCCTCATAAAATAAAAACAGAGACTTCGAGGGCTTCTTGACATTTTGCTCTGGTTCCCTGAAGACCCATCCAGGACACCTCCATGGATCTGCTTTACTCTGTAAGGATGATCTATTTCACAAAGACCCTACCATAACTGAAAGTAATCTTAAAAATAAACCTTGCAGGACAGGCTGGGGCATATTGATTACCTCTCCTCTACATTCTTGTCCTGGATAGAAGCCAGCCAGACTCCTGTGAATTCTGGATACTTATAACTTTCTATTAAAGAAGGATGGTGGTATTGTACAGCTGGCACCTGGAGTCCAACCAGAATTTAAAACTGTTAATCCCTGAGACTGTTCAGATGCCACTATGTCTCAGGCTGAAGGGCATGTAAATTTATTTGCAAGGGGCAAGGGTTTTGCAAAACTCTATAAATTTGTATTGTATTCTACCTGGAATTCATATCCTTTCCATTTTAGTTTATGTTCTTAAATTTATTGAACAATCAAAATGTGGCAGAGTTAATAATTAGGAGCTATGTTAGCCAATTCTTCATAGTTGATTATTGTCTGCATTCCAAAAATCCCAAGGTGTATGATAAGTGTCACTAGGCTCTGTTTTTATTTCAGTAGAGAGGTAATGAGAAATAGGAAATGAGCTGCCTTTGCCTGATAGGAGATGCAAGCTTCCTAGAATATGGATGTGTCTATAGAGAAAGTGAAACAAGGACTTGTTTAAATTGGGCTCTTGGTCAGACTTACATGAGGATGCAGAAATCAGTCACCTATGTGGTACAATTTGCAAGTTACCTCTGCTTTCAATTTATTTCCTGAAACATGTCACAGAGCCTGGATTTCCCAGTGAAAGTAATATATTTGAATTAAATATTACCTTCTTCTATCAGGTTCTCTTGTGAGCGGTATCACTGTAAGTTATTAGCATATGAGTAAACATCAGCTAACAGATTTATCTTTTGCCATGTTAAGAGTGATCTTGAGTATGTGATAGCATTGGGTTTGAGGGAATGGCACACAGACAAAGGGAAAGTTGTGCTCATTCAGAGAGGAGGTAAGTAGGAGTCAAACAAGTCAACAGCTTGAAAAAATATGCTTTTGGTTGCTTTTGCTACGCTTATGGTGATTCTGTGTTAAAATATCATTGACCCTCTTTACAGGTAGGCAAGTGAAGTGCTGTGAGGGATGTTTCAGTGAGGCATTGTAAAGGGAACAACACCCCCCTATATAAGGACAGGAAAGGGAGAACAGAACTTCAAGATTGTTAGCACTTTTTTGCTTTTTGTAAAGGATAAAAAAAAGAATTATACAATTTATTATCATGGTGACAGAACCTACATTTATTACACAGTAATAACTTATTATTTCTTAAAAAGTGAAATAACTACTGGGAAAGTATCTAATATTTCAAGAAATGAGGAAAGCTGTCATCATAAAAACCTACTTAAACTAGGTCACCATTTTTTGGCAGCAAAGAGGTTGGTAGAGAATAATGTCAAGAGAAAAACTGTATACTCTATACTGAAATCTGAAGGGACTGTTAAGCAGGGAATAGCTACAGGGCTTTAATGCTCAAACTGAATTGAAGAATAAAGAATCATGCATGGATGCCAAGGAAAAAGGTCAAGTGAGGCAGGAGAAAATGAAGGATTTACCAAAAGGCCAAGAGTATCTCTGAGAACTAAGAGGGAACAGGCATTTAAAAAATGAATTAGACCAGATGTCAGTGAAAAATAAAATAGTAATGGTACAGGAAGAGATTTGTTCTAGCAACATAGGTAGGAATATAAGGCAAGAAAAGGTGAAAGGTTGGGGAAGTTGAATTCAAGGCTGCTCACCAAAGGACCCCAAAAGAGATGGTTAACTATTGCAAAACCATCTGCTGGTATGAAATTGCTAATAACAGAGAGGAAGAGGGGAGACAGCTAAGTAATTTACTGTTGACGTATAGATATCAAGTGAATTAATCTTTTCAATGAAAATTAGCCAAAAATAAAAGAAAAGGTACATGATCCAGGATTGATATAGAGAGTGGGGTAAATTAATTTGAGTGGGATCTGGATACCAAAGGTAGAGGGAGTAGAGTCAGATGTGAATGTGGGTGACCAAAAGGAGCTTGGTTTCAGTTATGCTTTGTATAAGAAAAACAAGAAAGCACTGGCCTTCTGCTAGGAGCAAATGGAGTAAGAATAACAGATAAAGCAGAACTACTTAATCCCAATTTATTTCTTCTCATTAAGAAGAAAAAGGCTAGCCAGGCACAGTGGCTCACGCCTGTAATCCTAGCACTTTGGGAGGCCAAGGTGGGTGGATTGCCTGAGCTCAGGAGTTCAAGACCAGACTGAGCAACATGGTGAAACCCCATCTCTACTAAAATACAAAAAATTAGCCAGGCGTGGTGGCATGTGCCTGTAGTGCCAGCTACCTGGGAGGCTGAGGTAGCAGAATTGCTTGAACCTGGGAAGCAGAGGTTGCAGTGAACCGAGATCATGACACTGCACTCCAGCCTGGGTGACAGAGCAAGACTCCGTCTCCATAAAAGGAAGAAGAAGAAGGAGGAGGAGGAGGAGGAGGAAGAAAAAGAATAAGAAGAAGAAATAGGCCTAGCAGAGTCAAGAGAGAAATTTGTCTGTAAAAATTGTTAGGTAATACTCATATGCTCTCAAAATCTACCCAGCATCCTTAAGAAGAGATGTGTATAATCATCTGATTCTCCAAGGTCAAAATGAAAGAAAAAACTGTTAAAGGCAGCTAGATAGAAAGGACAGGTCACCTGCAAAGGGAAGCCCATCAGACTTACAGCAGATGTCTCAGCAGAAAGCTAGAAGAGATTGGGGGCCAATATTAACCATTCTTAAAGAAAAGAAATTCCAACCAAGATTTCATATCTGGCCAAACTAAGCTTCATTAGTGAAGGAGAAATAAAATCCTTTTAAGACAAGCAAATGCTGAGGGGATTTGTTACCTGGAGACTTGCCTTACAAGAGTTCCTGAAGGAAGCACTAAATATGCAAAGGAAAGATAAATACCAGCCACTACAAAAACAACTTTAAATACACTGACCAGTGACACTATAAAGCAACCACACAAACAAATCTGCATAATAACCAGCTAACATGGATCAAATCTACACCTATCAGTATGAAACTTGAATGTAAATAGGCTAAATTCCCCAATTAAAAGGCACAAAGTGGCAAGCTGCTTAAAGAACCAGGATAGATTGGTATGCTGTCTTCAAGAGACTCATCTCACTGCAGTGACAATGACACCCATAAGCTCAAAATAAAGGGATCGAGGCAAACCTACCAAGCAAATGGAAAACAGACAAAAAGCCGACAATATATTCCTAATTTCAGACAAAACAGACTTTAAGCTAACAAAGATAAAAAAACAAAACAAAACAAAGAAGGGCATTACATAATGGTAAAGGGTTCAATTCAACAAGAAGACCTAACTATTCTAAATATATACACACCCAACACAGGAGCACCCAGATTCATAAAGCAAGTTCTTAGAAACTTTCAGAGACTTAGACTCTCACACAATGATGGTGGGAGACTTCAAAACTCCACTGACAGTATTAGACAGATCATCAAGGCAGAAAGTTAACAAAGATATTCAAGACCCGAACTCATCACTGGATCAAATGGACCTGATAGTCATCTACAGAACTCTCCACCCCAAAACAACAGAATATACATTCTTCTCATTGCCACATGTCACATACTCTAAAATCAACCACATTATTGGGCACAAAACACTCCTATGCAAATGCAAAATAGATGAAATCATAATAATCACTCTCTTGGACTACAGTAGAATAAAATTAGAGGTCAAGACTAAGAAAATCACTTAAAACTATACAATTACATGGAAATTGAATAATTTGCTTCTGAATGACTTTTGGGTAAGTAATGAAATTAAGGCAGAAATCAAGAAGTTTTGTGAAACTAGTGAGAATAAAGATACAACATACCAGAATATCTGGGACACAGCTAGGGCAGTATTAAGAGGGAAACAGACAGCACTAAATGTCCACATCAAAAAATTAGAAAGATCTCAATGTAACAACCTAGCATCACAACTAAAAAACTAGAGAATCAAAACAAACAAACACCAAAGCTAGCAGAAGACAACAAATAACCAAAATCAGAGCTGAGCTGAAGGAGATTGAGACATGAAAAACATTCAAAAGATCAACAAATCCAGGAGTTGGTTTTTTGAAAAAAATTATTAAATAGATCACTAGTTAGACTAATAAAGAAAAAAAGAGAAGATCCAAATAAACACAATTGTAATTACAAAAGGGATATTATCACTGATTCCACAAAACTACAAATAATCATCAGAGAATGTTATGAACACCTTTATGGATACAAACTAGAAAACCCAGAAGAAGTGGATAAAATCCTGGACAAATACACTCTCCCAAGACTGAACCAGGAGGAAATTGAATCCCTGAACAGACTAAAAATAAGCTCTGAAATTGAATCAGTAATAAACAGCCTACCGACCACTAAAAGCCCAGAACCAGATGGATTAATAACCCAGTTCTACCAGACGTACAAAAAAGAGCTGGTACAATTCCTACTGAAACTATTCCAAAAAAATTGAGGAGGTGGACTCATCCCTAACTCATTCTATGAGGTCAGCATCATCCGGATACCAAAACCTGGCAGAGACACAACAAAAAAAGAAAACTTCAGGCCAACATCTTTGATGAACTTCGATACAAAAATTCTCAACAAAATACTGGCAAACCGAATCCAATAGTACATCACAAAGCTTATCCACCATAATCAAGTAGGCTTTGTTCCTAGGATGCAAGGTTAGTTCAACACATGCAAATCAATAAATGCAATTCATCACATAACAGAAATAAAGACAAAAAACACATGATTATCTCAATAGATGCAGAAAAGACCTTTAATAAAATTCAACATCCCTTCATGTTAAAAATTCTCAATAAACTAGGTATTGAAGAAACATACCTCAAAATAATAAAAGCCATCTATGACAAACCCACAGCCAACATCATACTGAATGGGCAAAAGCAGGAAGTATTTCCCTTGAAAACTGGCACAAGACAAAGATGCCCTCTCTCACCACTCCTATTCAACATAACATTGGAAGTCCCACCAGAGTGATAAGGCAACAGAAAAAAATAAAGGTATGAAAAATAGGAAGAGAAGAAATCAAACTACCCTATTTGCAGATGAGATAATCCTATATCTAAAAGGCCCATAGTCTAGGCCCAAAAGCTCTTTAAGCTGATAAACAACTTCCGTAAAATCTCACTGTACATAATCAATGTTCAAAATTCACTAGCATTCCTATAGACCAACAATTGTTAAGCTGAGAGCCAAATCAGGTATACAATTTTATTCACAATAGCCAGAAAAAGAATAAAATACCTAGAATACAGCTAACCAGGGAGATGAAAGATATTTACAACAAGAATTGTAAAATGCCACTCAAAGAAATCAGAGATGACACAAACAAATGGAAAAACATTCCATGCTCATAGATAGGAAGAATCAATATTGTTAAAATGGCCATACTGCCCAAAGCAATTTATAGATTCAGTACTATTCCTATCAAATTACCAATGACATTCCTCACAGAATTAGAAAAAACTATTTTAAAATTCATGTGCAACCAAAAGAGAGCCCAAATAGCCAAGACAATCCTAAGCAAAAAGAACAAAGCTGGAGGCATCACGCTACCTACTTCCAACTATACTAACAGCATGGTACTGGTACAAAAATAGACATATAGATCAATGGAAGAGAATAGACAGCCCAGAAATGAAGCTATACACCTACAACCATCTGATCTTCAACCAAGATGACAAAAATAAGTAATGGAGAAAGGACTCCTTATTCAATAAATGGTGCTGGGATAACTGGCTAGCAGTATGCAGAAGACTGAAACTGGACTCCTTCCTTATAACATACACAAAAATCAACTCAAGATAGATTAAAGACTTAAATGTAAACTCCAAAACTATAAAAACCCTGGAAGACAACATAGGCAACAGCATTCTGAAGATAGGAGTGGGCAAAGATTTGATGATGAAGACACCAAAAGCAATTGCATCAACAACAAAAATGGATGAATGGGACCTAATTAAATTAAAGAGCATCTGCACAGCACAAGAAGCAGAGTAAACAGACAACCTACAGAATGGGATAAAATATTTGCAAACCATGCCTCTGACAAAGATCTGCTATCTAGCATCTATAAGGAACTTAAACAAAGTTACAAGAGAAAAAAAAACCCATTAAAAAGTGGGCAAAGGACATGAACAGGCACTTTTCAAAAGAAGACATACATGCAGCCAAAAAGCATATGAGAAAAAGCTCAACATTATTGTCATTAGAGAAATGCAAATCAAAACCACAATGAGATACCATCTCACACCAGTCAGAATGGCTACTATTAAAAGGTCAAAAAATGGCAGGTGCTGGAGAGGTTGTGAGGAAAAATTAACACTTATACACTGTAGGTGGGAGTATACATTAGTTAAATTATTGTGAAAAACAGTGTGGTGATTCTTCAAAGACCTAAAGACAGAAATACCATTTGACCCAGCATTCCTATTACTGGGCATATACCCAAAGGAATATAAATCATTTTATCATAAAGACACATACACACATATGGTCATTGCAGCACTATTCACAATAGCAAAGACATGGAATCAACCTAAGTGCCCATCAATGGTAGACTGAATAAAAAAAAATGTGGTATAGATACACCATGGAATACTATGCAGCCATAAAATAGAACAAGATCATGTCCTTTGCAGGAAAATGGATGAAGCTGGAGGCCATTATCCTGAGCAAACTAACACAGGAACAGAAAACTAAATACCACATTTTCTTGCTTATAAGTGGGAGCTAAATCATTAGAATACATGGATACATAGAGGAGAACAACATACACTGGGGCCTATTAGATGGTGGAGCGTGGGAGGATAGAGAGGATCAGGTAAAATAACTAATGAGTACTAGGCTTAATACCTGGGTGATGAAATAATCTGAACAACAAACCCCCAAGACAAAAGTTTACCTATACAACGAACTTTCACATGTACTCCTCAATTTAAAATAAAAGTTAAAAAAAGAAGAAAGAAGAAATGTGTATTCGTGGATGTGATTTGATAGTGTAATTTACATAGAATAGTATTAACCATTTTCTTATTTTGATATGACTATTGAAAGTATGCATATTCTTTACTATGTCTCTAGATCAGTGATTTTCAAACTTCTTGGCCCTGACCTATAGTAAAAAATAATTTTATATTGCATCTCTATACATATACACACATAATAAAAACAAAATTTCCATAAATATCTGCCTTTAATACTTGAATTATTCTATTCTATTCTTTTTCTAAAAAACACAGTCTGTTACCCACTAACTTGATGTCATGGCTCACCAACTGGGTGGTATCATACTATTTGAAAACCACTGCTCTGCCTTATGGATAGGACATTGACTAAACGAATTTAGTCCTGTCAGTCATTCATTTGTTACTCCAATACATTTGGCCATATTCTTCAAATTATTGAAAATAATTGTTAGTGTTTTTTTTCTTGAATAAAAAATAAGTAGCTTCATGAGACTCAATGTCATCATCCTTGATCACAAATATGTAAGCTAAATCTCTCAACTCCCAGTAAAGTACTTACCTACTTTGGGAATTAATTGAACATAAAGTAGAATAATGTTGCCAGGGATAAACTTTGCAACCAAGTGCTTTTCAAATCACTTTTAAGAGTCTCAGATTGAAATATTTAAACAGAGGACCATATTTAAATGCACCAAGAAAAAATATATAAAGGAAACCATTACTGAATATGCTTATGAATTGAACAACTACTTCAATGATTCAATTTTTGTGTGTTTATTCAGTTTTTAAAAAACAAGCTTTCTAAACAGAAACAAAAAAACATCTACATGCATCCAATTATATATGCCCATTTCCTCTCCAATAAAAGGCACAGAGTGGCAAGTTGGATAAAGCTGCAAGACCCAACTGTATGCTGCCCTCAAGACACACATCTCACATGCAATGACACCGATAGTCTCAAAGTAAAGGGATGGAGAAAAATCTACCAAGGAAATGGAAAAGAGAAAAATGCAGGGGTTGCTATTCTAATTTCAGACAAAACAGGCTTTAAACCAACAGTGATCAAAAAAGACAAAGATGGACATTACATAATGTTAAAGAGTTCAAGTCAACAAGAATATCTAACTATTATATATATGTATGTGTGTGTGTATGTATACACAACACAGGAGTACCCAAATCCATAAAACAAGTTCTTAGAGACATTAAAAGAGACTTAGATAACCACATATTAATAATGAGAGACTTCAACACCTTATTAATAATATTAGTCAAATCATTGAGGCAGAAAACTGAAAACTGAAAAGATATTTGGGACCTGAACTCTTGACCAAATGGACGTAACAGACATATATGCAACTCTCCACTAAAAAACAACAAAATACACATTTTCTGCTATGCACATGACACACACTCAAATCCACCACCCAACTGGCCACAGAATAATTCTAAGCAAATTCAAAAAATGAAAATCATACCAACCACACTCTCAGACCACAGAACAATAAAAATGAAATCAATACTAAGAAAATCACTCAAAACCATAAAATTACGTGGAAATTAAGCAACCTGAGTGACTTTTGTGTAAACAATAAAAGTAAGGCAGAAATCAATAAATTCTTTGAAGCTAATGATAACAAAGATACAATGTATCAGAATCTCTGGGACACAGCTAAAGCAGTTTTAGAAGGGAAGTTTATAGAGCTAAACGCCCACATCAAAAAGTTAGAAATATTCAAATTAACAACCTAACATCACACCTTGAGGAACTAGAACAAGAACAAACCAATCCCAAAGCCAGTAGAAGACAAGAAATACCAAAACAAGAGTTGAACTGAAGGAAATTGAGAGGTGAAAAGCCATACAAAAGATAAACAAATCTAGGAGTTGGTGTTTTGAAAGAATAGGTAAGATAGACCACTAGCTTGACTAATTATAAAAAGAGAGAAAAAAAATAAAAACAGGTAGTGGTGGGCTTGCTGGGAAATGGAATGCTTACACACTGCTGGTAGTTCAGCCATTGTGGAAAGCAGTCAGGCAATTTCTCAAAGAATTTATAACAAAATTACTATTTGACCCAACAATCCCATTATTGAGCATATATCCAAAGGAATATAAGTCATTCTACCACGAAGACACATGCATGCATATGTTCAATGCAGCACTACTCACAATAGCAAAGACATGGAATCAACCTAAATGCCCATCAATGGTAGACTTGATAAAGAAAACGGGGTACATATACATAATGGAATACTACACAGTCATAAAAAAACAAGATTATGTTCTTTGCAGCAACATGGTTGGAGCTGGAGGCCATTATCCTATGTGAACTAAATACAGGAACAAAAAATGAAATACTGAATGTTCTCGCTTACAAGTGGGAGCTAAACATTGAATACACGTGAACACAAAGAAGGGAACAGACACCGGGCCTACTTGAGGACAGAAAGTAGGAGAAGGATGAGAACTGAAAAACTACCTATTAGGTACTATGCTTATTACCTGGGTGACAAAATAATCTGTATGCCAAACCCCCATATCATGCAATTTACCTATATAATAAACCTGCTCATGTACCCCGAACCTAAAATAAAAGTTTAAAAAATTAAATACAATTAAAAAAGAAATGTTTTTAACATAATCATAAATTATACAGATATATAAATTATTTCCTTAAATAATTAGACAATATATACTGTTTGACTAATGCACCCAACTTAGTTGTATCTTTATTTCACCTTTGAGTTATTCATCCTTCATAGACATAGACAAATAACTCTCAAAAGTGGCCAAAATTTGCTATATCAATTTTATGGTTTATACCCCTTAGTCCATATAGATTTTTAATTCCCATAATGTTGGGCAGTTATTTTACACTGGTTTAGTACAAGACTACACTTTCTTTGTACTTATCCTGTTTTATTTTGATGCAGGACTTAGCCTAACCATCTAGAACAGGCTGGCTTGACAATAGCAATAGGAATCAACATTACCTCTGCAACCTCTATGTTGTTACTCCTCTGTTCAAAATTTTTATATGGAGCAGATAACCATTTAAGCTTAAATTATTGACTCTTTTTCTCCAAATTTCTCTTATAATAACTTTCTTACAACTGTGTTCTTATCTAAGCAAGTCATTTGACCTACTGATTCTCACATACACTTTGCCTTTACCTGCTTATATGTCTTTGATCGCAAAGTTCTCTACTATGTATCACCTTTCTCTGTGTTCAAATATTTACTGTTTCTCTGCCAACTTCCAGCACCATAAAAAAAAAAAAAACATTTTTACTTTGCAGTCTAAGGTGGTTGCTCCCATCTCTTAAGTACCTATTATCTGTACAACTTGCCAGTTAAGGGCAATGTGAAATGGTATAGTGTGTGTCTTTCTTGTATTTTAAGTGACTGTTAACTTCTACATATGTTGGTATTTGTATAAATCATTAGCCCCACTACATCATTTATTGTTTGCTATATTCCACAAAAACTTATTGAGTGCCTGCTATGTATCAGATATTGTGCTAGAAATTAGTTTGCAGGTGGACATTAGTATTTTACATATATTGTGAAATATGAAGTGATATGACAGTCTGGGGTTTGTTCTTATTTTTCCTAGAAGACTGTGTCAGAGAATATTAGTATGCCAGAAAAATTCATGCACTCCTCAATATTTCACAGATCCCATGCATCTGGGTGGGGTGTGACTAATTCTCACTAATAGAATATGAGCAGAAATACTGCATCACTTTGGGTGGAGGCAGGAGAGAGTAAGAGAGACATTAAATCTCTATATGGCTGGAAATGAAAAGCTTTGGGTTGACAGAGTTTTAAGCTGGAAGAAGCCTGAGTCTCTGGGGTCCTCACTTGGAGAGGCCAGCACAGAGAGGCCAAGATACCTGCATCAGATTGTGACATGAGTGAGAAATACAGCTTCACTGTGTCAAGGCTCTGAGATTTGGGGGTTTATTTGTTACTGATGCATAGCTTATTCCATCATGATTATTACAGAGTAATGATTTTATTTGTGTATGTTGATGAGATCATTAAAGATGTTCGAATGATGTGAACTCTGACTCAATTATCAGATCCTTGAGAGTAGAGACTTTGCATTCATGTATAGCCTTCTCAGTGTCCAGGCCAGTGCTAGGATTATAGTAGGCTCTCAGCAGATATTTGTTGAATGGATAAGTTAACAAACTAGGGTTAGCTAAAAGAAGAAATCATTAGGGTACAACCAGAGGAAATAACATGTGACAAAATCCAAAAGAATCTTAAGATACAAATCTGGAGTCAGAAACAGAATTTAGCAATGAGAAAGAGATTAAGGTTTAACAAATGTAAATGTCTATTGAGCCAGCAGAGTTTCTACATTTCAGGTTCCCTTATGAGTAAACTGACTTCTGTGATTTATTAAGATCAGGAGATAGGTGTGGGCTAATAAGAAAATTCTGTAAGTCCTTTAAACACCTCAGTAGTTACTCTCTGAACTGTCCATTGAAGAATGAACAGGAGTTTCAGCTTCTCAGTCAAAGCTCATTGGGAAACTCCCGTCTGGCTGATATTTCCTGGCTCTAAGGGAATCTTCTCCATAGAATTGATAGAAAAATAATCTCTACTTTTTCAATAGGGAGAATGCTTCCCTTACTTATACTTGGTTTATTATTATCCTAATTATTATTGCCTTCCATAGTCTGTCATGTGACATGGGCCAATTCTTTTTGTTTGCTCTAGGGTAAACCGGGATTCCAGATCCTGGGTGGAGGTTGGAAATTGTGGCTGAATATCCAGCTATGGCACCAGACTGGGGAATATATGAATACATAAATTAACTGGTTTCATTTTAAGAAGGTAAAAATGAGAGGAGGTTTCTAAATCTATGTAGATTTAGACAGAAACCTCCTGTCTTTGCCTTTGTGCTCTTAATTAATCTTGATATTATCAGGCAGAATAATTAAGGATAGTACAGTGACATAACAGAATAGGCATATATAATGTCTATATAGGCATTTATAATGTCCTAGTATATACATAGATCATCCAGAAAATTAAAGACAGAAAATCTTTGAGTAAAAATTGACTACAAGAGGAATTTATTATTGAGAGATATACTTCTTGTATAAGTATGAATAAACCAGACACAAAAATGTATCAGAGGTGAGAAAGCAAATCCAGCCTCAAAACAATTTCATCCTCTGCTATTTGCATAGTCGATTTACTACAAAATGTTATTTGTTTTAACTTTTTCAGCAACCTCAGTGAGACAGAGAGGTGGATTTTATTGTCTTTAGGTTACAGGTGAGGAAACTTCACCCCAAAGGTATGATATTGCTTGCTCAGCGCCCCTCATCTCCTCTGTGGTCAGGCTGGCTGGAGCTCAGTTCTGCTGACTCTTAGTCTGGGGCTCTTTCAACTCTATCACATTTTAAGAGGTATAACGATTGTTACTCTAAAGCCAGGCATTGATATGACAGCTCAGTGCAGGGGAGGGGCGGGGGAAGCAGCAGACTTTGCCACTGAGTTCACCGATAGCTTGAGATGCCCTAATATCTCATTCAGGGCCAAGCACACTTGAGACACAAAGAAGCACGGCTCGACTCCATCCATTTGATTTCTTTGGGCACAGCCCTCTCAGACAATCAGGTACAGCACCCTCCCTTGCATAGTTGATGGCCTTTCCTGACGGCTATCAAACATATCTGCTGAGACTGCACTAAATAAAATGGCTGTCACCAAGCCATCTGGTGCATTTGTGCTTTTTCCCCCCTCTAAGATGCAAGTTTTCAGTTTGCACAGCACTTCAAATTCTTAATACACTTGACTAAGTCATTAATATTTCACTTTCATTACCATGTATTAATAACATGAGAATTTAGAATGATCTTGTTCATCTAACTCCTGGAAAACAAATAATTACATTCGTGCATATTGATTGTCAGATAACTAAAGATGTTTAGCCTGGGGCCGTGAGAAATCCACCAGCAGGCCCAGTTTTGGTTCTTAGCCATGTTCAAAGTATATCAAGCTGATGTCTATGAAACACCAGAGACAGCAGTAGCGTAGTTCTGGGAGTTAGAAGGGGCGGCCTTAAATGGACCCCATACAGGTCTCCATAATTGTTTAGCATGAGGTTTCTTCAGAAGAGAGTTGAAAGTCCTGAAGGATGCCCAAGGGAGAGACTAAGAATATGAAACTTTGTTCTCTGATGTTTGGTCTAGTTTTATTTTGTAGTAGGTGGCGCTGGAGGCTTCTTATCTTCCCTTTCCTCCTCTTCATCTTGATTAAGGATGGTAGATTCTAATGGTGGAAAGTGCCGTAGACACTGTTCAATGAGTCAACATTTGCTTTTTTTTTTTTTTTTTTTTTTTAAAAAGAGTAAGTATGTGTCTACCAAAAGCTTGTTGCTAAGCTAGGTCATTAGCAATTTAGCATGGACAGAACAGTGTTGTTTTCTCCTTACTAGTGGGAGAGACAGACAATATGCAAGTGAGCAAATTGATAAACAAGGAGGCTGTTCTGATATGCACGGGTAAGGAGAGAGAGCACTTCTTTAGATGGGGGTCAAGAAAGTCTATTCCAAGAGAGGAAGTTTGGGTTAAAAAGAAGGAAGAGAAGACAGGTGTATGACGAACTAGGGCAAGTGCATAATGGACATAAGGAATGGCTGTGCAAAGACCACAAGGCAGAACAGTGCTTAGCTGGCTCTAGAAACTGAAAGAAGTTCAGAGGGATAGAGAAAAAGGGAAAATGGCATGAGATAAGATTCAAGAAATAGTCAAGGGCCAGATTACATAAGCCTTTGTAGGCCATGATCAGAGGTCTGGATTTTTTTCTAAGTGCTGTGGGCATGCATTGAAACCTTGAGGAGGGTACCACAAGGGTGTAACATTAGGGGCTGAGAGAAAGGTAGGAATCTAGTTTCTGGCTTTAGACACTTGGTGGGTGGTGATACTGACCTCTAAGTCAAGGAGGGGTTGGGAAGGGAGAAGACAGGCAAGAAGAGAGATTAGATAAGAGTGATCAGATAGGAGAGGAAGTTTAAATCTAGTTGTCTTAAGTAGAGTGATCATTTGTCCAAGTGTGTGCTGAACTGTCTAATTTATGGCTGTTGTCCTACAATATTTTTTGTTGTTGTTGTGATAGGTCTTGCTCTGTCTCCAGGCTGGAGTGCAGTGGCGCGATCTCCACTCACTGCAATCTTCGCCTCCCAGTTTCAAGCGATTCTCCTGCCTCAGCCTCCTGAGTAGCTGGGATTACAAACACATGCCACCACACCCAGCTAATTTTTGTGTTTTTAGTAGAGATGGGGTTTCACGATGTTGGCCAGGGTGGTCTTGATCTCCCGACCTCGTGATCTGCCTGTCTCAGCCTCCCAAAGTGTTGGGATTACAGGCGTGAGCCACCACACCCAGCCATCCTACAATTGTTAATTGTGTCTCCTTTTACTCTCAAAAACATATCAGTATCTGGACATATTAACTAACTACATTTCTCCAGTTCTTCTCCTGGCTTTATAATGTCCTTGGCATAGGGAAGAGAACTGTTGCATACAAGCAGTTTGCTTTTCCTGCCATTTTCTGGCCACTTCGCTCTTTGCAGAGTGGGATGTTGGTGGTTCAGTCCACAAGAGGTGTGTTTCCCTCTCCTGCTAACTGATGCTCCTCACCATTGCTCACTCCCTGTTACTATAGTAACTCCCTATTAAGTTACAAAGTTTCTTTCAAATATCAGTTGGCACCTGCTTCCCTGGGGAAAAGCTCACTACTCTAACCTAGGAAACTTTCTTTCTCAACCCATCCTTTTCTAGGAGATACAGAGAGAGTTTGTGGACAGCAGCTGTGGTTTAGGTGGAGAAACCTCCACAAAACTGATGATAGCTGAGGTTTTTCAGGACTCCTGTGCTCTTGGACACACAACCTCAAACATGGACTTTGTGCCAAGATTATTCTCCTTGAATCTCTAAAGCAAGGCAGGTGCAACAACTATTATTGCCCTTTCTTAGTCTCTTGAGATCTTGCCCCCTCAAACCAGAGGTATCAAAATTTAAACTCAGGATTTACCAGCCAAATCAGTCTTAAATAGGGGTGACATTTTTTTTATGCTCAAGACTTCATCTTCCTCCAGTTCTCTTTTGTTTGTTTCATGCTTTTCCTTTATAGATTCCCTAAGCTTTAAAAATACCGAGCAATTCGTACTACTGTAGATCACATGCTCTTACGTTAGGCCTTTGCACATGGAGTTCTTTCAGCTTGTAGCCCAGTAACCTTCATCTGCCTGACCAATGGCTATTCAACTTTCAAGGTTAAGTGCATTGTTTTCAGTGAAATCTACATCTCATTATCATAACATCTGCATTGCCGAGATTGGGCGCAGGAGCAAAGAAGGAAAATAAAGCACCTGGATCTATTGGATTAGGTGGTGGTGATATAGTGGAGACAGGACCATTAAGCTTTATCCCTTGACTATGGGGGCAGAAAAAGCACAGCTTCAGGCATTTGGGTATGTGACATCTCTCTTTCTCAGGATTCACACAAGCACCTTCCACTCCTTCTACAAAGCCCCACTAGATCCCCAAACCTTATTTGGACTTGAAGATCATAGCCTTTTCTCTTTCCCCTAAATATGTGAAACTAGCAGAGGACGCTTCATGAAAAAAGCTGGCTTAGAAGGGAAGAGAACACTCTTTTTAATAAGCAGATGGTCTCTATAGATGAGGGAGTGTTAACATTAAAAACATATGCTTGGTACCAAGGAGGGAGAAACACAAAAGAGGATCGCGATGCACATGGTCTCTGTAAACAAGTAGTCTTTGTGGAAGTTCCCCATGTGAGGGAAACAGCTTTACAGGGTGGTATGAAGAAACTTGCCTGAATAATTCTGACTTCATCTGCAAGACTGTTTACCTGACATGAATTATAATAGCACATTACCAAGAAATGACATCTGCAGAGATGATAGCTAATTGAGCTTGTGTTTATTTGTTTGGTTTTGTTTTACCAATTCATTGATGAAATAAAAGCATTAGAAAATAGTCACCATGATCATGCACTCAATCTTTGTGTTTGTAGCAGAGAAATAAAACTGACTTTGTGTCAGCATTTGGTATCTGCTATGTAAATATATAACATTTATAGAAGAAAACAGAAATAGGTATAAAGAAAGTCCATACCTATTACTCCAGTGATGCAATTTCTAATGTGCTACTTTGATTTTAGAGCAGAAATCTCTATCAAAAATGGAGAGAAGTGAGTAGACAACAAAACATACCCATGTCAAGAATATTTAATTGCTTATGGATTAAATTTAGCCTGAATGGAAATTGATATAGAGGCATAACTTGTATTTTGAGATTAATCTATTTTCCCTTTTTTTTACATTAAAAGAAAAACATTTCTAGTGATGAGAAAGATGAACTGAACTAAATCTATAGTATAATGAAATGAGCACTGGGTAAGGAGTTAATAGATCTGGGTTCTGCCCCTAACTAGCTAGGTGACCTTGGTTAAGGTCATTTTATTACCATTGGCTTCATTTCTTTGATTATAAAAAACAAGTTAATATAAGTCAAGGATCACAAACTCAAATTTCTATGTGGCCCTGGCTGGTGTCATACATGAGTAAATCTGCCTGGGGGTAAGGCTGTAGAGGGTGGTAGGACTTGTGATTAAATGGAGAGAGCATGCCTCCTTTAAATGGGCAGCTGCTGCCAAGCAGCAGCCAAATGTTGCTATGAGAGTTATGGAGGAACATGTTTCCAGAGCTTCTAATTTTTCAGTTTTTTAAGGTAGAAATCCTGATTTTGTGCAAAGTAGCTCAGTGTTCAAAGTGAGCAATTCATTTAAATAAAAAAAAGAGAGAAAAAAAATAATGTAAGGGTAAAATGATTATGAGGCTCCATGAGCTAAAAGGTGAGAACTATAGTCTAAATGATCTCTGGGGTCTTTTCTAGTTTTAAAATTCAATGATTCTAGGGTAGAAATTGCAGCAAGAAGGAATTTACTTCTGCTTAAAACAGATCGTGTCATTTTTTTTAGTGCTCTGAAAAAAAAAAGGCTGCCAGATATGTGCTGTGTTAATTCAAGGATGGAGGTACTAAAAGAGTGGGGGCTGGATGGCCATTGCTTTGCTGGGGATGTGGTAGAGGAGATATCCCTATTTGAGGTGTGTATTTGTATGTGTGTATGTGCATGCATGGAAGTGTGTGTATTTGTGTGTGCAGATATGTGTATTGGTAAAAATGGGGCAACTAAACCAAAGTATTCCGTCAGTTCTTTCTGACCCTGTGAGTCTATGATTCTAGCTTTGTACTCATTCTCACTTCTCTTTCTTTCCCTTTTGCTCTCCCCTTCTTGCCCTTATTCTTATTATTTCTCTGATTTTTCAAGTAAGGGGTCTGGATATTTAAAAATCTGGGTAGGAATGAAAGATGTGACAATGAGTTTGAAGGAAAGTGTAGAGAAATAGAGGAGGGAAAAAAAGGGAGGTGAATCACCTGCAGATACTGTAGTTAGGAAAGTCTGTTATTTCAAGCTTGACTTATCTTTACTGTGGACATAAAATATGATCAGGGAGTGTGATGTCAGTGCATCCACTTTCAATAATTGATATGATGAATAATCTCAACCTTCCGACACCTTCTGTATCTCCCCACATCTCAAGAAACTTCATTCATCAGCCACGTTTGAAATGTTTAAGCAATCTCAGTGATGTATGGAATCCTGACACTCCCTTGTTAGAAATTTGTGCTACTAACATTCTATCAAATTAAAAAGCCACTGAGCTCTTGTGCATAAAATTATCATAAATTACCTTCTGAAGGTTCACTGCTGTTTGGAATGTTTAATTGCTCACTCAGCTGAACTTTAACGGCTCAGGATTATTCATCAACTTGTCAAAAGGTTTTTCATTATGTAGTCTCTAGATGGAATTGGGCAAGGTACAAACTTGTGCTTCAGTTGGTCTGATTGTAGCAAATTGCCAATACATCTTGATAGAGTTTGGCATCTTTTGTTCACTTATTTTGATATTTTTACAAAGGATTCATAGGGAAACTGGCTTATCCTACAGTTTTCAATAGACTCAACAAATTCCCATTTAAAGCAGAGAATAGTTCTGACCATCTAAGGGCCAATGAAGGCAGGTAGATGTATGACACTCTACTTACAAGTGACCTTATACATTCCTCTTTGAATGATGAAAAGAATGAGGGATAAACTTCAAAATGTTATTTATATTTCCATTATGACCTCTAATGTTATTTTATAGTAATCTGCTTATAAACAGTGTATGAAGGAATAGGATGTTTTAATTTAATATTGTTCAGTGTACTCTTATAGTGAAGCCAGGGCTGTCTTATTTTCCAATGAGTGGGTTCACCTTAGTTAGCAAAGCCATATCACAGTCTAAAGATTATTACTGAGTTCTCATTTCTTCAACTATCAACCCTAAAAACAATTATTTAAAACTCAATGCTCATGGTCACTACTTTCATAAGCTCAGGAGTAAGAAAAGTCTTCAATGAAAATGAAAATAACCTAACATTTTACACTGTACGTAATTATTCCCTGTTCTCTATTTTTCTCTCTCTGTAATTTTTTGAATTGTACAAATATCTGAAAATATTAGCATGGAAAATCATGTTTTTCTATTAGCTATATATTTTCACATTTATAAAGTAAATTTGTTTCTGGAAACCCAAGAAATAAATAACGTCCACCAAAGAAAATTATTACTACCGCAATTGGTGGTGGCTGTGTTAAGGTAGTGGTGGTGTTGAGCGGCTGGAGGAGCGGACGGGCCCCGCGGGCCCGAGGGCAAGGAGCAGCCGCCTGCCTTGGCCTCCCAAAGTGCCGAGATTGCAGCCTCTGCCCGGCCGCCACCCCGTCTGGGAAGTGAGGAGTGTCTCTGCCTGGCCGCCCATCGTCTGGGATGTGAGGAGCCCCTCTGCCTGGCTGCCCAGTCTGGAAAGTGAGGAGCGTCTCCCCCCGGCCGCCATCCCATCTAGGAAGTGAGGAGCGCCTCTTCCCAGCCGCCATCACATCTAGGAAGTGAGGAGCGTCTCTGCCCGGCCGCCCATCATCTGAGATGTGGGGAGCGCCTCTGCCCCGCCGCCCCATCTGGGATGTGAGGAGCGCCTCTGCCCGGCCGAGGCCCCGTCTGGGAGGTGAGGAGCGTCTCTGCCCGGCCGCCCCGTCTGAGAAGTGAGGAGACCCTCTGCCTGGCAACCACCCCGTCTGAGAAGTGAGGAGCCCCTCCGCCAGGCAGCCGCCCCGTCTGAGAAGTGAGGAGCCTCTCCGCCCGGCAGCCACCCCATCTGGGAAGTGAGGAGCGTCTCCGCCCGGCAGCCACCCCGTCCGGGAGGGAGGTGGGGGGGGGTCAGCCCCCCGCCCGGCCAGCCGCCCCATCCGGGAGGGAGGTGGGGGGTCAGCCCCCCCGCCCGGCCAGCCGTGCCATCCGGGAGGGAGGTGGGGGGGTCAGCCCCCCGCCCGGCCAGCCGCCCCGTCTGGGAGGTGAGGGGCGCCTCTGCCCGGCCGCCCCTACTGGGAAGTGAGGAGCCCCTCAGCCCGGCCAGCCACCCCGTCCGGGAGGGAGATGGGGGGGTCAGGCCCCCCACCCGGCCAGCCGCCCCGTCCGGGAGGGAGGTGGGGGGGTCAGCCCTCCGCCCGGCCAGCCGCCCCGTCTGGGAGGTGAGGGGCGCCTCTGCCCAGCCGCCCCTACTGGGAAGTGAGGAGCCCCTCTGCCCGGCCAGCCGCCCCGTCCGGGAGGGAGGTGGGGGGGTCAGCCCCCCGCCCGGCCAGCTGCCCTGTCCGGGAGGGAGGTGGGGGGGTCAGCCCTCCGCCCGGCCAGCCGCCCCGTCTGGGAGGTGAGGGGCGCCTCTGCCCGGCCGCCCCTACTGGGAAGTGAGGAGCCCCTCTGCCCGGCCAGCCGCTACGTCTGGGAGGGAGGTGGGGGGGTCGGCCCCCCGCCCGGCCAGCCGCCCCGTCCGGGAGGGAGGTGGGGGGGTCGGCCCCCCGCCCGGCCAGCCGCCCCGTCCGGGAGGTGAGGGGCGCCTCTGCCCGGCCGCCCCTACTGGGAAGTGAGGAGACCCTCTGCCCGGCCAGCCGCCCCGTCCGGGAGGGAGGTTGGGGGGTCAGCCCCCCGCCCGGCCAGCCGCCCCATCTGGGAGGGAGGCGGGGGGGGGGGTCAGCCCCCCTGCCCGGCCAGCCACCCCGTCCGGGAGGTGAGGGGCGCCTCTGCCCGGCCGCCCCTACTGGGAAGTGAGGAGCCCCTCTGCCCGGCCACCACCCTGTCTGGGAGGTGTGCCCAACAGCTCATTGAGAAGGGGCCAGGATGACAATGGCGGCTTTGTGGAATAGAAAGGCGGGAAAGGTGGGGAAAAGATTGAGAAATCGGATGGTTGCGTGTCTGTGTAGAAGGAAGTAGACATGGGAGACTTTTCATTTTGTTCTGCACTAAGAAAAATTCCTCTGCCTTGGGATCCTGTTGATCTGTGACCTTACCCCCAACCCTGTGCTCTCTGAAACATGTGCTGTGTCCACTCAGGGTTAAATGAATTAAGGGCGGTGCAAGATGTGCTTTGTTAAACAGATGCTTGAAGGCAGCATGCTCTTTAAGAGTCATCACCAATCCCTAATCTCAAGTAATCAGGGACACAAACACTGCGGAAGGCCGCAGGGTCCTCTGCCTAGGAAAACCAGAGACCTTTGTTCACTTGTTTATCTGCTGACCTTCCCTCCACTATTGTCCCATGACCCTGCCAAATCCCCCTCTGTGAGAAACACCCAAGAATTATCAATAAAAAAATAAATTTAAAAAAAAAAAAAAAAAAAAAAAAAGGTAGTGGTGGTGTTAAGAAGGGTAGTATTCTGAGCCTCCTGATAACATTGGCACGTATAAGATATTTGTGAATGCCTTCCTCCTATGGCCACAAAAGCAAAAACTGGAATCTCATGATGCTGTCACTGGAACTGAAGCTGTAGGGCCACCCAAGGGATGACTAATCTTATTAAAAAGACGGTTGGTACTGAAAACTAATCCTTCTTGGTTGGGAAATAAACCGCCTTTGCCAGAAATTACTTGAAAAAAATATCTTGAATGAGGTTTCAGTATTTGCTTCATTACTTTTCATGTGGCAAAGAATGAAAATAAGATACCCACGGAAAAAACAATTTAGATGCCACTGGATCCTGAGATGTCTAAAGATTCTTCTCCCTGCCTGCATCCCTCTCCACCCACCCACCCAAAGCCAGCATGACATAATTTTCTCCCAAATCTCTATGAGTAACATGTGGTAATGTTAAAACCAACACTCTATTAGTTACTCTATGACTTCTGTCTTGCCATCACTGCATTTATCATTTCCTGCCCTCTTTCAAACAGAATAGAGTGGTGCAGTTAAGGAGGAAAAAGAACACATAGTTTGAGAAAGACTCTGCATTAATTAAATGAACATAAATGGATAACACTGCACTGCTGACTGAACATTTGCATTAAGAAGGGAAGACTGGTGCCGGAATGCACATCTTTTGTAGAAATGACACAGTGAATATTTCTTCATCATGATTGTGGTATCACTTAAGATTGATTGGGCTTCAAGTAACAGAAAACCCAACAAGTAGTGACTTCATCAGGGTTTCATTCTCCCCATATAACAAGAATTTTGGAGATGTGCTATTGCTGCTGTTGATTTAGTTATTCAAAGATGCTATTTAGAACCCAAGCTGTTTTTCTTGTCTACTGTCTTTACTGTGCTGACTTTTTGTTTACTTGCTTGTGACCTCATGGTTGGGAATGGTGGTTTTAGTCAATTAACTGTGTCAGCCACAAATTAATCAATTTTATTTAGCATGAATAAGATGAAATGTCACTGGTGAAGACTCTACTAATTTTTATTCGATTAGTTAAATTTTCACTCTAACTCCTCTAATATTTAACAGAAAGATTTAAAACATGCATGAAAGCTTAGAAACTACAATCTAATGACAGATTAAAAGAAGCTTATTAAAGAAAAGTTGAGTCTTTTCTCTTCTCCAAGCATAGAAAAGATGACTAGGAAGATGTTGGTCATCTTTATTTTGGAAAAATAAAGCTGCTTTATTTTTCCAATACACAGCAAATTTAAAAAATCCTATTATTACATGTGAAAGAATTTACTACCAACGAGGATTTTGGAGTCCTGGAATGGGTGACTTCTTTGGAAAACTGTAAGATAATCTTAGAGAAGAATGTATTTGAATTAATTTAGGCAACTTTTTTGAGTAAGGTTACATGACATGATCTCTTGAGGTCCCATTCAATTCGATGACTCTCTGGTTATGTGATGCTAAATTTTGGAATGATTGACTAGAATGCCTTAAGACTAAATTCTACTCATTTATTTCAGTATTACTTATGAAAAAAAAAGCCCTAGAAATTACCACTTTATGCACTGGTTATAGCAGCCAGCATTTTCCCCAAGCTTTGTAGTGATGCATTTTGGAGACTAGAGTGGGACTTATAGTGTAAATTTTCTTTAGTGCATGGATTATTGATTTAATAGATCATGACAATCTATTTTGTCAGACCTGCTACCACATGGGTTCTGAGTCAGCAGGCAGACAAGCCTTATAAAATATTTGCTGTTTTAAAAAAGCTGCTGCATAAGATGAAATTAAAGCTCAATAGTGTTATAGTCAGTTATTTGATAAGCAAGGTGATCACAACCCAAGAGCCAGAATCATTAGAGGAAAAACGAAGTAGTCATTTTGATGTTTGCTTTTGCTTCTGTCACCAGAATGGTAAATTTTAACCTAAAGGAAGAAAACAACAAATTTTGGGTCTTTTAAGGATGTATAATATAAAGTATGAAATAATATCCAGTTGGATTCTTGGTTATCAAAGGTGGGGTTGTCAGAATCTGGAAAACAGGCTCAATTTGGCTATTTGGTTGCAGGCAGTTTATTGAGTAGCAATGGAAAGCAGGATGGGCAAAGAGAAAACTAAACTGTGATGCAGCCCCAACAGTAGTTTCAAGCAATTCGCACGGAGTATGGGATATTCCTTTAGAGATATCCCAAATGGAGGCAAGGGGTTTAAATTTTTGTCCTCTTACATTGCTCAGTCATTGGATGTGATCTTTCCCTAGAGAGGGAACATAAACTTGGTCAAGCAGGTTCCTTTGGCCAAGGGTAATTCTTGGGGAGGATCAGAGTTGAAGAGATAAATAGCTTGGCCCTGAGGGAGATGTGGAGGCACTCCACAGCATCTAGTACAGCGCACTCCTTCTGCCACTTGAATTCATTTTTTTCATGCAGTAAATTCACCCTATCTGGGAAGACATACTCTCTGTACTTGCTTTCTTTTCTTGGGGAAACCCTAAAGAAAAAGGTTAGAGGTACAACAGCCCTAGGCAGTACAGCTTGTACCTGATACTCATCAATGCTCTGCTCAGGTATGCATTCCAGACTTCCCCTCACCATCGTTGATTAACTCTGCTGGGCCAGGCAACTTACTTGGAAGGGTCACCAAACTCTCAACTATGATCTCAAGGTCACTGATATTCTCAGGCCATGGCTTAGGTACTTGTCCGTTTATTATTAAAATTGGCAACTGGAGTGCCAAGATATGCCCCAGTGGATCACCTAGGCACCAAACAACAACAACAACTACCTCTTCTTCTTCTTCTTTTTCTTCTTCTTCTTCTCCTTCTTCTTCTTCATCATCTTTTTTGAGGCTAGGTCTGACTGTATTACCCAGGCTGGAGTGCAGTGGTGCGATCATAGCTCACTGTAGCCTCAAACTCCTAGGCTTCAGTGTTGCTCCCATCTCAGCTTCCAAAAGGACTGAGATTACAGGTATTCATCACTCTGCCTAGCCCCTTGACCTGTGTGTGTAAAAACGGATGAGCTTCCTCCTAATTTTCAAGGTAAATTGTCTCTGTTAGGATGGTGACTTTTCTCCTTACCTGCTGGTCTGAGGAGCACAAAGTGACCAAGAGGCACCTGAAACTTAAAGTTTAATGGGTCGCTCAGTGGGTCCCAAGAGTCAAAATCCCATTTTAGATTCTGCCCCATATGACTCTGGTACCAAGTGTCACAGTTCAGGGTCTTGGGGGAACAGACTTTACTGAGACGTAGAGATTTGAATGCAGGAGTTTTATGGAGGTGCCCTCTCAGGATCAACACCCGTGAGGAAGCAAGGGCCACGTGATTCGGCAGCTGAAGATGTTGAACTACAATGTGGTTGTAGTAGCAGCTTCTGATGATCCCACAGGGAGTATTGAAGCTAGGGTTATCCTTTAGAGATATCCTAAATTGTGGGAAAGGGCTTGGTGACCTTGCATTGACCAGTCACTGGATACAAGCTGTCCCCCAAAGAAAACAGAAACTTAGGCAGTTTTTGTTGACCAAGGGCAATTTCTGGAGAGAGACACAGCTGTAATCTGTGTTGAGAGAAAGAATCTGTGTTGAGAGAAGGAATCCCTGAGTCCTGAAGCGTAATCTGGAGGTATATGACAGCATCTTCCACCTTGATTCTAAATTTACTATCTGTACAGCTTGGATAAAACCCTCATTTAGAGTCAGATTATTTTTATTCCTTCCTTCCTTCATTATGAGTATTTGATAAATCACTTTTGAATACATGAATGATTCAAATGTTTGAGTGTTTAGCATGTCCTCACACTCTGTGATGTATGTCCTGGTGATACAAATAGAGGAGTCAAGCACAGTCTGCCATTAAATTTGATGTGTGACATTCCTCTCTCTGCCCCTTACTAAAAAAAAGATGTATTCAGGCAAGTTATTTAAAATCATGTGCCACTGTTTTCTTACCTGTAAACTTGGACAAACAATGCTTTTTCTGTTCACCTCAAGATTATGAGAATCAAAGCAGTCTGTAGAGGTTCTTGGAAGATATAAAAAGTGTTTTATGACTTTTATATAGAATCATTCTTATACAAGTTGTTAATATTTAACATATAATGGACAAATAAGTACTTCATTTTATATTGGCTGAATTTGTGCTCAAGTAGACCTTGAATGTTATTTGAACATTTTTGGAAGGATGTTGTTAGAGGTATTGGTTTGGGAATAAAAGTCCCAGTGAAATATCTATTATTTGCACTTTACTATGTTTCATTTCAATGTTATTACTGTACTGAAACAATGCATCAAAATACACATTTGGACAATCTAAACACTTGAATAAAATATATAATTAACAGCATTTAATGGCATTACATTTTTGGGTCATTTTGACAGTTAATATCTGTCTCTTGCTTTTCTAATAGTAATAATTTTCTCCTTTTCTCTTCATTTTATCTCTAAATAAAATTAACTTTTTTCAGATTTTGCAAAACACAAATGAGTTCTTAAATCAGTATGATAAATGTTAGTTGAGAATTTCATCTGAAAACTGAAGTCTCAACACTTAGACAGAGAGAACTTGTAGTTAGAGAGGTTTGTCAGAGCCATTTCGTACCACACCTGTTTCCATACCACAGGCTGACAAAACATAAAGTCAATAACAATTACTGGACACCTAAAACATGCAAAGCTCTGGGCCAGTTGGCATGAAGACAAATAAAGATGAATAAAACTTAAAAAGACATATAAGCCCCATGGTCTTCAGGGGCTTATATTATAGTGAAATATGTTCACCTTCGGTTAGGCACAGATAAGAAAAATGCCTTTACCCAGATCAACTTAGAGGAAGGAGGATGGAAGTAATGGCTTATAATTCTGACTAGAATAATGAGGTCAAGGAAACATCAAAGCATTTTGACTTTTTCTCCTCCAACTTTTAATCTTCCTAGGAAGAACTGACCTCCTAAGACTTTATTTTACATCTCTTTCTCTCTCTATCTAATATCTCTATATATCTATCTATCTATCTCCTAGAATATTAATTGGCACTAAGTATAGACTAAAACAGAAGAATAAAATCAGAGCCTATCATTTACCCTTTGAATCACAAAATGGCCTTCATCCCTAAAAGCCAATTGCCACAAAGGCTCAACTGTTTGGGAGAAAGTTGATGGGCCATAGCCTTTTGACCTGAATATAACAGCCACCTTGGTGCAGATAATTCGCAAAAGTCTGTTTTGGGAAAAAGCATACTTTGCCCATATGTTTTTTTTAAACCAGCTATATCAGACAGAGAGAAGATCTCTATAGCTTGGAGGATAGTTTGGTTTTTAAGCCACTTTGTCTGCTGAAAATTTGCCTGTGCCCTGATATTGAGGGTGTTGCACATAGCCCAAGGCCAAACACAGCGGTAGCAACCAGACTGCCAAGCTTACCCTCACCATATACAGTAATAGGTGATTAACAGGTTTCTTTCAATTTCATAGATCTTACAAGGTTTGAAAAAAATTGTTTCACAGGTGGTGAGAAATAAGTTAGTGCCTTGGTGAAGGATATGCCTGTCATGAATGCACGGCCCTCAGAGGACTAAGCAATATTCAATCCTTGTCCTTAAGTAAGTCTTATAAAAGTCAAAAGGCAATAAGGTAAAAATCCAGAAGCAAAGTCTTGGTCATCCATGCCATTCATATTTCCCAGTATTTCTATGAAGTAGTTTAGTGGCATCTATTAGGCTGACAAAGAATAGGTTTGATTTTACCAGGCAGAAAAATGTTCTAAGGATATCAGCAATGAAACATGTATTGCAGAATTAAATAGCTTCAAATGAGCAGTTGGAGGGCAATGTAGAACACCTGGTAGACAGGTAAATCAGTGTGTAAAGATGTGGAAGGAATCTTAAACATCTGCTTTACCAAGCAAATCCAAAACCTGGACTGGAAGAACTTAAGGATGAAACTCTGAGGTAGTTCATGGGCTGTGCAGATAAGTATATTTGATTTCTTAATAAAATACAACATTTATAGAACTAAGCATTGGTTGCAGTTTATTGGCACTGCATATTATTTAGCATTTATAAATGAGAACCTGTCAGCTCCAAATTGCCCACATGCATAAAAGGAAGCCAAAGCATTGACAATTTCAGACAACTGATATTTAGAATATCATACTTAATTTCAACAAGTACTTATTGCATGCTTACTTTGTTGAAGGCACTATGCTGCTCTATCAGGTTCTTTCTTCAGGCAGTAGGATAAGACAATGTCAATCAGCTAGCATTACATGTACAAGGTATATGTAATAAGTGCCTAAAAGAGGTGCAGAGGAGGGAGGGAGTATATCCAGGAGGGCAGATTATGAAAGACGTTGTGGAGGAGATAGCAGTGGCATTTTGACAGAAAGTTATGGGTCCAAGGAGAATGTTTCTGGATGAGAAAATAAGAGTAAAACCAAGACTGGTAAGATAGGAAGCGAGAGGCATGTTTGGGACATCAAAATAGGTCATTTTTGCTTGGTTGCTACAAGAGCAGTTGTAGGGAGATAGGAATTTAGTCTGAAAAGGAAGTTGGGTAATATTGTAAAGTGCTTTCAATTTTAGGGCAAGAGATCTACTTCATGCTGTATAACAAGGCTCCTCAACCTTGGCACTGTGGATATTTCAAATCAGATAATTCCTTGTTGTGAGGGGCTGTCTGGTGCATCATCCCTGGCTTAGTGGCATTTCTGCCTTCCTTATCCCCTCCTCTTCTGACAATGAAAAATGTCTCCTGATTACCATATTCCCTGGGGGGCAAAATAACCCCCAGTTGAAATCTACCGGTGTAAATAATGGGAATCAGGGAAGTTTGGGAGCTATAATCAGATATGCCTCTCCTTACTTTCCACATCTAATCCATCACCAAGTAATCAAAACTGTTTCTAAATATCTCTTGTATTCTTTTCTTGCATCACTGTTGCCACTGACTTAGGAAACACCTTCCATCATTTCCACAGAGATTCCTGCAATCGCCTATGAGCAGCTCCCTGTTCTAGACCTTTTCACCTACAAACTATTTTTTCATACCCTTTTTCAAAATACAAATCTGATCATGTCATCACTTTACATAAAATGCTTCAGACTCTCCATTGCTTTCATGGTAGAATTCAAATCTTTAACATGGTCCTTCCTATCTGCACAACCTCATAATTCCTTCCATAGGATCACGTGTCTCAGCCATATACTGGACTACTGAACTTTCTTTAAAGTGTCACACTTTTTTATATTGCCACGTGTTTTCACATGGTGTTCCTTCTGTCTAGAACTCTACTGTCCCTGCTTGATGGGTAATGCTTATTCAACTTAAAACTCATTTCAGTAGGAATCTCATCTAAGCACAAGAAAACCCCTCCTGCCCTACATACACCCTACATACTTCTGGAGCCACTCCACTTTGTGTTATTGTGTCCTAGTGCCAATCAACTTCTATTACTATCTGTACAATTTTGTCTCTTCCACTGGAATGTACTTATCTTGAAGGCAAAAACTAGTTGTGCCTTTTTTGTATATCCACAGTATATGTTGTATATCCACAGGATCTGTATATCCGCAGTAGTCATTGTCACCTTAAAGCTGTGGTCTGTATATTTCCCAAAAGGAAAGTGATGCAGTTTTGACTGATGGTCCTTAGCAACCAATATACTCTCCAAGGTGTTGGTCTTTTGTAGAGGACTTATACATAAGGGCTTGCGGGCCTCTGGAATAATCTCTGCTTTTTCCTACTTCCTCGAACAACAAGAATCAACCAAACCCCAGCAGCTGCTAAAATACATAGCTCATTGGTATTTCTGTTTTGTGGAGGGACTATATTCCAACTTACAAATAAAAATATCCTCTGCTAGCTATATGATTATTTCGGTCTTCATTTAGATGACAGTCATTAACCTGAAGCCCTTGGAACTCTAAGTGTGCCGGGTAAGGTTTGTGATCCCACACAATTGTTTTCTAAGAAAGAATATATAATACTTTTAAAATGTATAATAGATTTTTTAAAGAAGTCAGCTTTCTAGAAAGGTTAGGAGTAATTTTCTTAAAGTCCCTTTACAGAGAACACTAAATCTCAAGTAAAATTTGAAACCTTTGCCTTGTATAGAATCCATTTGTTAAATATCCAAAGATTATTTGACCACAAACACAAAACAAAGATCCAAGTGTGGTAAAAAATAAAAATTCAAAATTAAAGTACTAGCTTAAAAATAAGCACAAAAGGCCCTAGGTTCTTTTCTCTCTTAATAAAAGAAAAGGAACAATAAGACAAGTTGGACTCTGAATTTTCTGGAAACAATTTCAGCATCTGTAAAAGGTCTAAACAGTTTTCGAATGCTGGCTACTCCCAGGTCTGACATGTGCCACCTTAATCAACACTTTGGCGCGGGCGTAATGGAAAACATGTTTTCTCTGCCATAACTCTAGCGCAAGTTTATGACATCAGCCAAATGGGACAGACAGTCTGAATCCTGCGATAGGCCTTCTGACAGCTAAATAGAGGACACCCTGCTCATGAAAGATAGCCTTTATAGATACAACAGCTTCCAAGTGGAAAACTCTCTCTTGGAATAGAGAAATTTGGCACAACTTTTCCCAGAAACTATGCCAAAGATCTTTAATACTAGAGGCAGTTCTCATAATCATAAACTCTATTGGTTAGTCTACTGACACAAGTGCTTAGTGCTTTTTCATCTAATCAGACTTGAGTGTGGAAACAGCCCAAGGTTTCCTCGGGTGTTTATATTATTTCAATGGCACTTCCTTTGATTTACCTAAGGGATGTTTTGTTTTAATTAGAGTTTATGACCAAAGATCAGCCGAAAAAGTATTGACGTGGATGTACATTGTTTATGGGTTTTGAATACAATTATATCAACCATAAAAATAGACCAAACAATTTTGCTTGTCTGCCAAAAATAAATTCTTGATCACAGGATTTCAGGTCTTCATTTTGTTTTCATTTACGTTAATAAAAAGTACTTGCTGATCATTAACTGGAGAAAACTGTAAAGTCAGTAAATCTGGAAACTAACATTTATTAAGTTTCAATGGGAAATGTAATGAGGAGATCTGATGTTGGTTAAATTATGGACTCTTTCCAATTAGTTGGCTGTCCCTCCAAAGCAAATGTACTAAAAATAAAATGACTTCCTTTTTGATGTCAATTATAAAGTGTGTATTTTTTTTTGTCTCTTTTTGTCTTTTAGGTTTTGATAAGATTTGGCAAGATAGTACCTATGAACCTATCTGACACCTGCCTCAGAAATCATGCCAAATGTCATAAGGTCGCCATCTATTTCCTTCACACTCTCTTAGCTTTTATGTACCAAGTTCTAAAATTAGAAGCAAGAGAAATGATGTACTGAAGAATGCATCTTTATTGAGGACTTTTATTAAAACCAAACAAGTTCTCATAGGCAAAATATTAGATTAAAATGGCTTCCAAAGCATACCCACCAACTTCTTGACAGGTCATAATAGCATCTGAGTACAGAACCTTGATTCTTAGAACAAGATTTACAACTACTGATGCTTTCCTCTGTGTTTGCAAAGATATTGAGAAACACAACAGCTAGGGCCCCTGCTTCAAGATCACCAAATATTTGTGGTCTCAGGTCTGCAGCTGCTCTGTGCCCTCCTCACATTCAGCAACTAGAGCAGTATGAGCCTTGGATTGTGGTCCTCAAAGACCCTTCTTGGTCACATATGTGTTTCTAAGAAGACATCAGCATGGTGACAAGATTGATGTTTTATTTTACCTTGCTTAAGGCATTTGTACCACAAAAATGAGTTTTTAAGTGGGACTTTGGAAACAAAGGTGTTATTTCAGAATATACAAATCACATAATGAAGATTTAATTTAATAAACCCCCCAAATTTTCATTTTAACCAAGAGTAGGGCATTAAAATAGTAGGAGATCTAGATTCCATTTTTGGTTTCACTTTCTATTATTGCATGTTCTGAGCCAAGTCATTTGACAGCTATGAAACAGGGATACTAATACTTCTTTTTTAAAAACTTTGTGTGTATATATATATATAAAATTTATGGATACATAGTAGGTATATATAATATTTATGGGGTACATGAGGTATTTTGATACAGGCATGCAATGCATAATAACCACATTAGGGTAAATGGGATATCCATCACCTCAAGCATTTATCCTTTGTCTTACAAACAACCCAGTTATAATCTTTTAATTATTTTAAAATGTGCAATTAAATTATGTTGACTATAGTCACCCTGTTATGCTATCAAATACTAAGGTCTTATTTATTCTTTCTAACTAATATTTTATACCCACTAACCATCCCCTAGGGATATTAATACTTCTCTGTAGGAGAAATTGAGGGCTTCTTTTCCAGAGGAATGCTGCTATCAATTGTTTGGGTTCATGCTGTTGTCACAGTGCCAAGGGCTGTGACAGGTTAAAGGCTGGCTCACATACGAATGTGGCCCTTTTAAATTGCTCCCCCACCCCCACTCCATGAGCTTAGATAAGTCCTTTTAGGGGTAATAGGCCATCTCTCTTGCTAACATATGACTGGTGAAGTGAGAGTGACTTGGAAGAGGTCATCAGTGGCCAGGCTGAAATCTAGGGCAGCTACTCCCTTGCTTTTTCAATTTCTCCTACTTCCCACTGGCATATGCATTCTGCTTTGGCTTTTTCTTTCATTAGAATGGCTAGATCTGATATTCAGTTTTGGATTGTGGTGGTAGGAGGCAATATAAGCCCTGAGAACTGCTTTCACTTTCCTCTACTTGAGTCTACTTTGTTAGGGTGAAGGAAATCTTCCACACGGCTCATACCAGAATTTTAGAGTCTTATGTCAGTGTTGGGGTCAAAGCCCCAATTACTGCAGTAAGAAATAGTTTTTCGCTCCCTTGAACTTTTTTTTTTGTTTTTTAATTCAGGGAACTTGTAGAGGATTGACTGGTCTAGGACCAGATTCAGGTATTTAGAATCTTATTCTTGGTCATTTATCTCTCAATAGATACATATCTACTGGCATTCCATTTTGACATGATTTACATTTATCTCACAGGTGGTTTACAAGATCAGTTGGAATAATATATGTCAAAATATATGCTTCAGGCACTATAAATTATTGTACAAATGTTTGTTATGTATTATTATTTCTTGCAGGTGTATTGTACAGGTGTATTTCTACTTTTTATTATTTATTATGGCATGTTGTACTAGGGAGTTGACAATTGTTTATTAGTCACAGGTCAGTTCTTCAGCTTCTTCCTTCACTTGACTGTGTTCATGTTTTTGCTTCTGTGCAGATCACGTATATATTTCAGGGGCTTTCATATTCTCTTTATACTTACACAATGGCCAGCTATTATGTTTCAGGGGCTGTGTGGTCACAACTATAAAAAGGTCTCTGGACTATGTTTTTCGCTGTTGTCCCCTGAGGCAAGATAATGTCTTTTCTCACTCTCTTTTTACCTTTTTGGTTCTTTTCACATTGCTGCAGATATCTACCCCTTCTTGTCTCTGCCTTTTAACTCAGCTTGCCCTCCCAGTATCACACTTCCTGGGAAGGTAACAACGAATTGTAAACAATGCCAAGAATTTGCTCAGCACAGCCCTTTCCTATTGCTCTCCCTGCTGCTGTCATGGCCATGCCTTGATTTTCATTAGCTGCTTCTGATTCCCTTGGTTCAGGATCTCACTCATATTTTTTGGTGGGCTGGTGGGGGGAGTTATAGCGCTTTCATCACTTGCTAGGCTAACCTCTGCTGTCTCATTTGTTCTCCATTCAGGAGTGGAGAATTCACCACATTTTGAAGGTTATGCACATCCCTCAAGGGCCAGTTGAAAGATTCTCTCAACGTCAATGTTAATTTCTCTTTTTATCCTCTTACATCTTCTTGTTTGACTCTTCTTATGTCAGCTACTCCCATTTTTCTTGCATTTATGTATGGGTTTGCTTCTCCCACTGAATTGAGAGTTCCTGAATGGGGTGGCTTTACCTTACTCATCTTTGTTGACTCAGAACACTTGCATCATCCTTTGCATATGAGTAGCCTGTGGGTAGAGATGTATGGAATTGGTTTATACTGAAATGCTCCTTCTGACCAGGTATCCTGGTGCGTGCCTGTAATCCCAGCTACCCAAGAGGCTGAGGTGGGAGACCAGGCGTTTGAGGCTATAGTGCTGCTATGATGATTGTGCCTGTGAATAAACACTGCACTCCAGCCTGGGCAACGTAGCCAGATCCCATCTCTAAAATAAATACTCCTTCCTGTCTTCGCACCCACACTGCTGTCTATCTCTGCAGGGTACTTCATACACCTTTTATCTACATAATACTTATTTATCCTTCTCCTTTCTGTGTAAATGCTGCTTCCTCAGATATCCCATAGACTAGGTTAAGGGTTCTTGAGAGATGCTGTTAGCACGTGTACTTAACTCTAAAGAAGATTGGACACGCTTAAAATTACATATTATCTATATTCTCTGTTAGACAGTGAGCTCCATGTTGACAAAAATAAGACACAGCTACCTCGTTCACACTCTATACCTACCATTGGCACAACTATCTGTCGATTTATTAAAATAAATTCACTGGTTTCTATTCTTCTAATTGTTATTCTCTTTTTGTCAGAAGTTATCCCTTAATATTTGGCACATGGAAGCTGGAGCCAAACTGTAAGTTCGTGTATCACAGCTCCGTCACCTACAAGTGGTACACTCTTAACCTCTCTGTTCCTCAAATTCTTTATGCTTAAGATGGGAATCATAACAACATCTACAGTGAGGAATGTGGTATTAGGAGAGATAATGTGGCTCGCTCAGCAAAGCACCTACCTAAGGAACGTATTCAATAAGCATTAGTTATTACCACCCTCCAGCCATCCTTATGGAAGGAAGAAAAGATAAAGATAATATGAAAAATTATTAAAACGACTCTTCTCTCGAGCTCTGGAATCTCATCTTCCCAACTCAAACTGACAATCCACTCAGAAGTATGTGTTCATTCATATGTGCCACCCATTACTCCCAAGAGGGTCAGTACTCTAATGAGATGTATTTGTGGAATTGGGGCCATGTGTTTGTGTGTGTGTGTGCATGTGTATGTGTGTGTGTGTGCGTGCAGGAGCATCCCTAAGACTAAGGTCTGGTGATGGAGCTGCTGAGTATCCCTATTCCCGTACCCTGCACCTTCACTCTGAGATCAGGGCGCCCTTAGGAAGCACTGAACTAAAATTGACCCCAGCGCTTCTTTGCTTCCAAGGATAAATATTAGAGCTGATGTAGCAGCATCTTTAGGCATATAACTGTAGAATAGATGTTTAAGTTTCTATTCTTTTAAAAGTGCTTTTTGAGAACTTTCATACAAGTTATACTGGGTTGTTTTTATGGCTGCAGCCAATACCATTTCCCCTTTCTTCGTTTTCTTGACATTTTATCCAATCAATTAGAAAGTAAATTGCTCTTTGCTCTCAAAATGGCACGGCTTGCTTTCTTTTGAACCAGCTTATGAAAATTTCAGAAATCATTAAAGAAAGTGAAGAAACAAAAAGCCACAAGACAAGCAATGTGGATTTTATGTTTAATTGGCATACAGCCTGTCTTTTAGCTCTAGTGTTTTTAAATTGTGTTTGTAAAGAGTAAGAGAAATTTCTTGTTAATTACTCACACACCTTTTCTCATTTGGCCCAGATAATTGCCCTGTCAAGGGGGAGGGTAAATTAATTTTAGACCCATGTTAGAGAGGAGGAACCTGTGACTCAGTGACTCACTCAAGGTCCTGACTACATTTTAGAGTGATGAAATTCAGGTTCCCTGATTCCTATAGGCCCAGCCTCACCATTTACTAGTTCTATGACTGTGACCAAGTTACTTAGTCTTGTTGTCTCAGCTTCTTCATCTGTGAAAATGGTGATACACTTCCATCTCAGGGTTTCTGTTAGGATTATTTAATTAGTTCTTTTAGAATAGTGCCCTTTACATGGTAAACATGCAGTAAGTATCAGATATTAACATAATACCTCAAAATAATAATATCTGCCTTTTAGAGTTTAGAGAGGTTTCAATAAGATAATTCATGTAGACTCTTAGAACATTTCCTGGCACAAAATAAACACTTAACAAGTGTTTGGGATATTTTTAATATTATTTTTATGATTATTCTATTTGATCATGATGATGAAATATCTAATCAACTGAATCATTGGTTGGGGGTTGGAAGACTGAGTTTTAGTTCCTCCCTCACTAGAATTCTGGTGACAACACCCAAAATACTTTTTACCTTCCTTTACTATTTTATATTTTTTAAAATAAATTTTTATGTGTGGTTTAGATATGTAAAAACTCATCAGTTGGATAAATTGATAAAAGGTAATCATTTGGCCATGAATACTATTCACCAGTTCTGCAACTGCCATAAAGGAATGCCAGTGTTTATTCTTGTCTGCCATTGTTAGGTATCATTTTATATGTGGAAGTTTTGAGTTTGGGAGAGCATTTGAGGACATATGAGGCAAGAGGCAGCTAAGGATAAACTTCATGCTTGGCAGCACTGCTTTCAACTAATAGCCTTCTCGTGCCTGTTATACACCTCTGAGACTTAGCTGCAGTGGCATATCCTGATACTAGGTTTGCCCAGGAAGTAAAATGTTTTAAACCAAATGGAATTATTGACAACAGTATTCAATGAGCTTTTTAACTTTGCCCATTATAAACCACCAAATTCTAAGAAACTAATTCCATGGAAGGATGCAAAACCTGCTTAGAAATATTTTTTTTCAGATTTGGGTTAGGCTTTCAGAGCTTAGTTTTGTGTTTGTTGAATATCCGTAAGTTATTCTTATGAGAAAATGTAGCCCACACTCACAAGGTTGTTTGACCATGAGGCTTAAGCTTTCAGTATTTCAGAAAGAAATTTGAAAAGCCACACTGCCTTTGCTTGAGGTGTGAGATGTGATTAGCTAGTAAAACAACTTACCTTTCCAGGTCTTACCACCTAGTTCAAAAATGAATAGTGATTTTGAAAATCTCTAGTAAGAAGCTGCTTGGATGAGCAAAGTAGATTTAGCTGGTTATTTGGATGTGCAACAGTAAGATCCTCTGCCTCTTTAGGTGTAAACTTCTATATCTTTAAATTCCTAGGTTGGAAGACAATAGTATAATAACAGGTCAAGTTCTGCAGTATAGCTAGAGAAGAGACCTTTCTGACCTATGACATAATTTTAAATACTTTAGATTTGGATCTGAAACATCTAGTGCAGTTGTCCTTAGAGGCCAAATTCTTCAGGTAATTGCAAAGCACAGGGGTTCCTTGTGGTGTATAGATACAGTTACCAATACAATGTCACCATATTTAGAGGGCATCTTCAATACCTTCACCCATGTTAATGTCAGCCTATTTGTCTGAAAATTCAGCTGTTGAGTGGAAGTTTACTTTGGTCTTCTCCCCAAGGGCTTTCAGAGTAGTTAGTATAAAGTCCGGAAAAAAAAAAGAAGGGTAGATTGTTCTTAGCATGCAGGAAGGAAGTTGTCAGGCGGAAAGAGGATATGGGTCTGTTTGCATGCGAGGGTCAGTATTTGCTAGCTAGATATTTCCGCTGTGTCCACACGACAAGAAAATCCTTAGTTTCCTGTGCCGGACAAATAGCAGGAAAGGGTGTGAGGGTTATTGAATGACATTATCATGTTATAGCCTCATGGGTGAGGAAAGCCTGCTTATCAAAACTGATAGCAGCACAGGACTTGTTTGGGGAGGAGCCCCAAGGTGCTGGAGTCACTTGGGGCGTTTTTCCTCTTGGGTGCTGTGGATCACTTGGCTTTTGCAGACCCGACATTCTTCCTCTCAGATAGAAGGGACTGTTCTTACTCACTGGAAAGTTACTATCAGTTTCATTATTTGCCATCTCCTATCTGGCAAACAGTTCAGGTGGAAAGGAAATAAGAAACATTCAGCCTGATTGGCAAAGTAGAAGATATCATGTCCTGAAACTTGCAACCATCCCCAGCCCACCCCAACCGTCTAAGGTCTAGCCATACATAATCATGCTGCACACTCAGCTTTACTCAAATGTGAATTTTGTTTAGTGCAAAGCCCATTTCCAATAACTGCTGGTGCAATAGCTTAAATGAATGTGAGAGTGAAAAGTACAATTCACTCTGCCACTTTAAAGGTTCCAGGTGTGAAAGTTGTTTCTTAATTTCTAGCTTTTCCAGTTGGAGAAATACACAGGTAGTGTCTACACTCCTGACCTGTGAATCTATTTAGATTGTGATTGAGAAGTGTAATTGGGCATTAATTAATATTTTTCTACAATTCTTCAGTATTTACTACTTTTAGCAATGACTACAATCCAGAATCAAGCAATTTGGTAAATAATGAGTAATTGTAGGTGCTTTCTTATTAGCAACTTACTTCTTCTAATAAGCAGTTTAGCATTCTGGAAGGTTTCAAAATTTTGGAAAATACTATGAGCAAAAAAAAAATGGTTAAAGTAATGATATCCATATTCAATAAAATGAATTTTTTTTAATTTAAATTCATCTGCAAACTCCCTGCTTCCCAACCAGAAATATTTAAGTTCAATCAAAAAGGAAAGGATCAGGGCTTATTCTCAAGGAGTCATCTTATTCTAAAGATAAGTAATAGGAACAATTAATCTTCGGAGAAGCATATCAAAAAGTATTGAATTAAATCCTGAAAGGAAATAATAAAATGACTAACAGAAAACATTGCAGCATACTAAAATGTTGGTAGAAGAGACTTTTAAAAATGGATCAAGAGACTGAAAAATATATCAAGTCTTTAATGACACACTGTGGATGAGGATTGTAGTTCCTCTTGAAGTCAGAAAATCATTTATTCTCTTACGTTAATTTGGAGGTACCGTTTCCTCATATAGATTCACCAAGTAAATATTCTACCTGTGCTATACATATCTACAAAAAACTCACAGCTAAGTTATATAGGTTTTTTTTAAAAAACTATGAAAAAAAAAGCATGAAGAGTAAATCATGACTGTAAATAGATTTTTAAGGTAAAATTACCTGTATTAAGTAGCACTGTATTTCACCACTGAAAACAATGATTTTTTTTTTTTACATGTACTACTGGTATAAAAAGTAATCTCAACATTATTATATTTATATATACTCTTAATCAGTGATAAATGTATTAATAAACAGTATGTAAACTTAATATATAA
The DNA here is from genome assembly GCF_000001405.40 of Homo sapiens. Taxonomy (NCBI): domain Eukaryota; kingdom Metazoa; phylum Chordata; class Mammalia; order Primates; family Hominidae; genus Homo; species Homo sapiens. The sequence continues at coordinate 35,674,826 of NC_000015.10, forward strand.
ACAATCATTTGAAGCAACCAAAAGTCAGATGAATGTCTTCAGATTCCTCATCCTAATTTTATTGGCTAAAGATGCTTTAGAAGAAGCATAAAATGCTCTGGGAGAAAAAAGGCTTCTACTGGCCTAGGTTTGTGAGCATTCAGTAACTAGTTTCAGAGGTTGTTTAGGGTTTCTCAAGCTCAGAGTCACTGTCATCATTTTTTTGTTTGGCTTGATTCCCAGTCTCCCAGGCGCTCTCCACTTCAAACATTTTCTGCACACTTCTCAGAATTATTTTGCTTCCTGAAAGCTCTGACCATGTCTTTCTGCTTCTCACAGGCCCCTGGAGGCTTCTCCTCACTCTTCAGCTTGCATGCTGACTGCCGCCTTCAAAACTCTCTAACACTGTTCCCACATTACCTATCTGTCCTTGTTTCCCCAAAGTCACAACAATATGTTGTATGAAATGGCTAAAAGGATTCAGGGAAAAAGGCGCTTGTGGTGCACGTCTTTGTTAACCTGGCTGTGTTGGCCTAGCTTGTTTTCAGCAATTCCCCAGCTAGTTGCAAGGTAAACGAGGAGCTCTGAGTTAGTGCTTGCTCAGGCTAGAGGCCTGCATGTGATCTGAGCCTTTGTACACAAGTAGTAGGAATATATACATTCGATAGACATTTTCATAAGCAATTTTTCTCTTTTTTAACTTTAATGTCTTCCCATATTGCATTCATCTGCATAACAGTAAACACATGCCCCGACAGAAAGTTGCAGGCAGGGATATTTATTTATAACAGATGGCACAGAGCAGGAGCATGATGAATTGGTGTGTGGCTCCTGAACTAGCAGGCCCATAAATAAAGTATCCTCAAAGCTACTTTGGGGATCTTGCTTGCTCAGAAGGAAGAAAGGAAAGATGATGCTCACAATTTTGTTGCCTTATATAATATAATCCCAAACATGTGCAATTTAACGACAAGCAACCAAAATCTTATAACTGAGTTTTTTCGTTGAAAAAATTTATTCATAGATAGCTTTTCAGACCTATGAAACAATTACAGCAATAACAGTTTTCTTTCCTTAGTTCCTTTTATGTTTATTGATCTAATGACTCAATGCATTCTAAAAAGCATAAATTTGCAACTAATAATGGTCAAAACAAGACATAGACCAATAATATTTACATAACCCTTTGTGTAAAACCTTATGACAGAGAGAATAATGAGTTTATTTCCAAGAATATAGTTATTAATGACACAAATGCAATTCCTTGAAATTTGAAAAATTTTGTTGCTTTCTCAATATACAAAGCACACTAGGATAGTAAATATAAAAGCCAAATTTGGCTGATCTTGTATATGTGAATCATTTATTTAAAGGATTCAGAGACAAAACATGTTTTTTTTTCCCATCAACTTTGGGGTTTTATTGGCCTTGTTACTATTTTTAAGGGGTCCTGAAGTTGAAATTTAACAGTATTATCGATTCTGGCACAGGTGTAGTGAGCCAAACATTTTCATAGAAATACGCGTGTGAGTGTAAATGTGTATATGTGTATGTGAGGGGGGTTTATGTTTATATATTGTTTAACCTTATAAAAACCTCTGCCATTATTATTATTATTATGATTTGAGACAGAGTTTTGCTCTGTTGCCCAGGCTGGAGTCCAGTGGCACGATCTCAGCTCACTGCAACCTCTGCCTCCTGGGTTCAACCAATTCTTCTGCCTCAGCCTCCTGAGTAGCTGGGATTACAGGCGTGCACCACCACACCTGGCAAATTTTTGTATTTTTAGTAGAGACAGATTTCGCCATGTTGGCCAGGCTGGTCTCAAGCTCCTGGCCTCAAGTGATCTGCCCCCCTCGGCCTCCCAAAGTGCCTGGATTACAGGCAGGAGCCACTGAGCCCAGTCTTCTGCCATTATTTTGATGTTGGAAAAACACCAAATGGTATAGAGAGGTCTTAGCCTATGGGGAATTATTTTTCACATTTCAAACATATAATCTGGACATAGACTGTGCTTCAATCACTGTTTTGTTTGAACTGGCAATTCCTTAAGTGAAACAAGTAGTTTGACTCAACATCAAATTTACTATTTTGACTCCTTTTTGTTTAATGAGGTGAAGGAAAGTCAGAGGCTCATCATCCTTATAAATTAAACAAAATAGGCTAACATCCTGGTAGTGCACCAGTCCTCATAATCACAAAGTCAAATTGCTCTAAGCCCTTTGCATATTTTTCAGAAATTTTGCTAGAGGCAAAAATATAGAGGACAATATAACTTAATGAAACAACTGAAGGCAAAGAGCAGAGTTATTACAGGAAAAAAGTTAAAGATGATATTTAAAAGTTTTATTTGTTTACTGGACAAATACGTATTGAGTAGTTGCAATGTTATATGAAGTATGCTAGGTGCACCCAAACAAAGGTGCGTAAGAAAATCCTGTGTGGGGCCGGGCACAGTGGCTCACGCCTGTAATCCCAGCACTTTGGGAGGCCGAGGCGGGCGGATCATGAGGTCAGGAGATCAAGACCATCCTGGCTAACACGGTGAAACCCCGTCTATACTAAAAGTACAGAAAAATTAGCCGGGCTTGGTGGCGGGCGCCTGTAGTCCCAGCTACTCGGGAGGCTGAGGCAGGAGAATGATGGGAACCTGGGAGGCGGAGCTTGCGGTGAGCCGAGCTCTCGCCACTGCACTCCAGCCTGGGCGACAGTGCAAGACTCCATCTCAAAAAAAAAAAAAAAAGAAAATCCTGTGGGGGAGATAGGCAGATTCTAACTGCAATAGAATGTGGCAAAACGTCTGGTGGAGATATCCAAACGGCATTATGGGAGCAAAGGAGTGGTACTAAACCCTACTTGATGGGCTGGGTGAAAGAAAGAATGCCCTCTTTTTCAAATGTGGCTACAATGCCTCTTACTGATGTCTCTTGGAAAAAAATTTGACTTTAAAAAATGTCTGAGAATTATTTGTACTTTAAATTTGAATTTGGTAACTATATAAGAATAATTTACATGTGCTTTCGAAACGTATCGTTTAGAAAAATCTTGAGGATGATTTTAAAAGACTAGGGCTTTGATGAGATAATACTTACAAAACCCTTAGTATACTAGCAGTACATGGCAAATGCTATAAATCTAAGCTGCTGTATTATTACTATACTTGTTATTACTGACACTACTGCTATGACTAATACTTCAGTATTAGTATAGTATAGTATAGTATAGCATAGTATAAACTGCACGGGTTAGTGGTTAGAAACAATGAGAACAGTTCATGGGAAAGTGCCCTTGTTAAACTTAGTAAAAAAAAGAATACTCTTTTTTTTTTTTTTTTTTTTTTTGAGATGGAGTCTTGCTCTTTCGCCCAGGCCATACTGCAGTGGTGCAATCTCGGCTCGCTGCAAGCTCTGCCTCCCGGGTTCACCCATTCTTCTGCCTCAGCCTCCCGAGTAGCTGGGACTACAGGCGCCTACCACCGTGCCCGGCTAATTTTTTGTATTTTTAGTAGAGGCGGGGTTTCAGCGTGTTAGCCAGGATGGTCTCGATCTCCTGACCTCATGATCCGCCCGCCTTGGCCTCCCAAAGTGCTGGGATTACAGGCGTGAGCCACAGCGCCCGGTTGACATTTTTATTAATAGTAGTTAGGGGTGTGTTCAGTTGTAAAAATCAGAATAAACAATATCTGAAAAAAGATGCTTATTGGTTTTTTTGTTATTGCATACAAAAGAGGCCAGAAATGGGTTGTTTTTGGCAATGACATTGCAGCTTAACAATATCAGGGCCCACCTCTCTGGGGTTGTCATGTTTTACTTGCTGTGTTGATTCATTAGTGTAAGAAGACTATTAAGCTTTCATCCATTCTGTATGTCTTCCAAGCAAGAAAAGGGGAAGCTATTATCTTGTAATGCTTTGCCTTTTTATTCTGGAAGGGAAGACTTTTCAGCAGAATTCATCCTATCTCTTAGTATGAAGAACTGTGCCACATGACCATCTTAGTTATAATAGGGGCCAGGAAATTGAATATTTAACTTACCAATTTTTAGAGTAGAGGGAGGAAAGGAAGAAACTTTTTGGGAATAAATTTTGAGTGGACTAACCTACACTGTATTGTCTCATATTATAATTAATACTGTGATGAATCAAAAATGACAGTTTATATTTTCATAGCCATAACTCAAGTCGAATGTCTGAAATAACTGCATTAATTCTGATAAAATCTCTACAAGGTTTCCTTTATGTTTGTGACTTCTTTGTTAGATCGATGAACTGAACTCTTGAACAAACTGTAATCTTTTTGATATGCCTTTTTTATTTTTAAAGAAAAACTGTTAATAAAATAAATTCATAGATTTCTTTTTCACAAAAGAAACTAAATCATGTGTAGCATGCATTTATGGCAATCTGTTGTCACTTCATAATCTGCCTCTGTATATGAGATTGCTGATGCTCAGCCTGACAGCCTCAAGTCTTTACAAAATCCTGAATGAAAGATTCAATGGAGATCATCTACCTCAAATCTGGAAACATGTCATGTCTTGTGCAAATATACTTACAGAAGTAGTGAGGCCAAATATTTGAAATGGGAGCTGTCCCAGAAAATTGAATATCCATGGTTACTATAACTACGCTTACTAGAATAACAAAGGTCCAAAAACATATTTTAGAAAGTTTTTAAACAATAAAAGTGTGTGTTGCTTCTCCATCTCCTCTTCCAGCAAGCTAAACACATATGAATTGAAAAAGTAAAATTAATTGCAACTCATGCTAATCACTTAATGGTGCTGGTTAATCGACGTTTTGCTTAGTAGTTTACATTTGCCAGTCATTTGTCATACCTGACAAATCATTCCAAATGTGTAGATGTTCCCTCTCAGACTAGATGAGAAACTGTGATTTCTCTCTCTTTGTTCCTCCCACACCTACTTGACTGATGATCTTGGCCCTCCTTAACCATTCCACATGCTTTTTGCTCTTCATTTATTTTCATTGTCCCACTGTACTTTAGCTCAAGGTTAGCTTAATATAGAAATAGCAAATAGAAAGGTGCCAAGGATCCCAGGATATACTTTCCTAGGAAAAGCAAGCTGGTGTTTTTAGTTCTTTGCTCAGTCTCATTTGCATTCCCTCACATCAGAAAATGGCATAGTTTGTATAGACAATTGCCATTTATAAATATTTAGCAGGGGCTCATCTTCTCTATGCAGTAAAAGAGAGTATTGAAGTGATTAGCTATTCACAACTAACTGGCCCAAAGAATGTGATTTATTGCCAAAGATTCAAGTCAATGCATTGACACTTATTCTCTTTTATCCCTTCAGCATGTAAGTATTTATCTCTTATCTGGAGCTAAATTAAAGAAATTCTCAACTGAGTAGCATCATTGTAACATCTTCTGATCAGACAGTAGGTTATTTTGTCTCCAGCCACATGTGCCTCTGTTACTAAGGAACCAAAATCAATAATTATCAGAGAATACACAAATATCCAACACAGATAACCAGTTTCCTTTTTTTCTTTGCCTCAGACTTCAGAAATCTAAGAAGAGACCTAGTTTCAGGTGTATCTTATACTTTGTAAATTCAGCAATCAAAATTCAGGACTTGGGGAGAATTCTAAAGGATGGAGTTAAATTTGTAATACAATGGTCCTCAGGTCAAAGATGACTAGAAGGAACAGGTTTGTTGTTCTTTTTTGCCAATAACAGAGACATTAAATTCTAATGTATGACCCTAGTTAAGTCACTTTACTTTTTTGGATCTCTGTTTTCCTATCTAATGTGGAATATTTTTGTATTTCCTTTGCTATTCCAAAAGTCTCTTTGGAAAATGAAAATGGAAATCCTTTTTAAATATGAATACTCTGAAAGCACTTCGGTTGAAGTCCCACATTTCACCTTCTAAAATATTGTATTTCAAGTGTTTGTCTTAATCTTTCAGATTATTTCTTCTAGTACAGTTATTTGCCCAACAGATTGTGTATGTTTTTAGAAATGTAATAAAGACAACTACCTTTGTGGCTTCTTTCTGGTGGTCCACATGTTATTCTTCTATACCTCAGTGGGTTAAATACTTAGGATTTCAGTCTAATTTGGCTTGCTCAGCTGTTGTTGACCTTTTTCTCAGAAACCATTTAGTCAATCCAATGCTCTGATGGTCTGTAAGAGCATTACTTTTATGGAACCCCCTAGGCATAACTACTTAGAAAATTTGCCTGCATGCTCTGTAATTGTCAGTGAAATTGGGAAGATTAAATTCAAACGCAGCAAGAAAGTATGATAATAACAAGTTCAGAACAGTTGAAATGCTTCTGATTTTGAGAACTGTTTTGATGGAGGGAAATACATCATACCTCTGGAATGCATGTGCTGCTGCTGTTTGGGGGACATGAGTGAGGGTAGGACATATATTACAAAACAGAGATTTTACAGGTGGTTGTAATTGTGTGGTGGGGGTGGAAAAAGGACATTTTCATAGTCTAAAAGTCCATGCATGCAGGCTATTTCAGGGGGAAAAAACCATGTCTCCACCCAGTCCACCCCCACCATTGTTTTCTCTGTGTTTATCTTTGCTAATTTTGCTTTGGATTTTTCTGATGTCTACTAATTTATTGCATTTTTAATCAGTTTTGACTTCTCTTCTTTTCCAGAAACAATGTATTACCACTGACTTCCTGATATCTCTAGTATTGAATATAGAGCACAGACACCCATCAAGGTCCACTAATTCCAAATTTCGTTAGGAAATTACTATGATCATATTCATTGTTATATCCAAGAATCTAGCAGAGTGATTGGCACACAATTAACATGTTAAATAAATGAAGTGAATCTTTATATAATGAAGTCTTTGTTAGCTCTTATTGAGGGCTATTTCAATATGAAAATAATACAAACCTGGAGTCATTAGAATCACTCCAAGGGATGTATTGGAAGGATCTGTATGTAGTACAGAAACATGCCTTGTATTGTTTCTCCTGAGTACAAGTTTCAACAACTAGACTGCTCTCGAATGCATATATATGGATGCATGTACATTTATATTTGAAGTTTTCCTATTAGAATTATTTTCCAAAATCACATTCTAATTTATCATTTCCCCCTTTCCTCTGAATTGTTTATTTTTAAGTACATAAGTAATTTATGCATACATTTACAATGTTAAAATATTCAAACAGTGAATACGTGGTCTAAAAATTGAACAACTCTTTTCACCCTGTTCTTCTCAATTCCATTTCCCCATATTTAACAGATATTTAAAGTACTGCTTTATCAATACCCTTAAATGTTGATGTGTAGCATATTCGTTGTTCTTCACATCTAAATATTTTGCTAATTCCCATGACAGTTTCAATTTTATCTATTATCCTGTGAATTTTATATTTCCAAACTGAAGGGTCTTTTATGGGGGGATGGGAGTGGGTACCACCTTTTTCATTGAGGTACTAGCTATATTTTTCATATATATTTGTGACTTTTCTCTTTTTGTGACGTGTGGTGAGAGATATAATATGGTTGGCATGATACAAAGTTTTTGGTACTCATTAAGACTTTGTTTTGGGCCAAATACATGGTCAGTTTTGTAAATGTTCCAATATAAGCATAAAAGTACTGTGCATATATTAAATTTTAGATGCAGAGTTCTATATAGTTTCCTTAGATTGTGATTATATTGCTATTTACATCTTGTATATCCTCATTAATTATAAATTTTTATTTTTTTATTAACTTGTGTGGTTCCTTAATATCTCTCAGTATAATTGTAAACTTGTAAATTTTTTCACTTTAATTCAGTCAAATTATTTAGGGTTTTTTGTTAGGTAGATATAGGTTTGATATTATTATAGCTTCCTGATGATGTGTTCATTTTTCATAATATATATTGACTGTTGTATTGTTGCTCTTAACCTTAAAATCTATTTAATCTGATATTATAATGATATTAACTTTATTTTTGTTAGTATTTTCTGAGTGTGGTATTTTGATTGTATTGATCATCCCAATTAATGTCCTCCACAGACATCTATGCTCTTGGCTGTCACTTGGTAGCACCTCTCATAAAGAGATGAAGTCACTTTTACCATTTCTTGAAAATGAATTTGTCTTGTGACTTGCTTTGGCCTATAGAGTAAAGTAGAAATACCAGTGTGCCTCTTAGAAGCTTAGACTTCGAGGGGCCTTTTGTGTTTCTCCTCTGTCTTAGAATCCTGTCACTGCTCACGCTAGCCGATTGGATGAGAGACATGCAACCCACTGACAGTCCTCTTCCTTGCCTCAGTCAGGAGCTAGCATCCAAATGAAGCCATCCTGGACTAGCAGTCCTGCCAACCCCCTAGTTGTCTGCAGATGCAAATGAGCCCAGTCAAATTTAGCTGATCCTGGCCCATATCCCCCACTAGTTCCCAGTTGACCTGACTCATGTGAAATTATAAAAGTTATGTTTTTAACCCACTGAACTCTGGGGTGGTTTGTTGTATAGCAATAGCTAATTGTTGAATAGCAATGGCTAAACAATATGAATTTGTGTAACTGTTCAATGGTTTCTTTCATTTTTAAATTACTGATAATATTCATTTTAAAACATGCCATTTTACTATTTTTCTTATCTATGCTATATTTTTGAGTCTTTTTAAAATATCATATAACTAGGAGAGAGGGGAGCAAGGGTTGAAAAACCACCTATTGGGTACTATGTCTACTACTTGGGCAATGGGATCATCAGAAGCCCAAACCTCAGCATCATGCAGTGTACCCATGTAGCAAACCTGTACATGTATCCCTTGAATCTAAAATAGAAAAAAAAAATGCCAAAGTTGCAAAATAAATAAAATAAAATATCATATGGCTAGTTTCCAAAAATCCAGTCTGAAAGTTTCTTGGTCCATTTATTATCACGGTAAGTACTGATGTGTATGTATGTGCACAGCCCCTTTTGTGATTTTTTTTTGTTTGCCTTTTGTTGTTGTTCATTGTTTCTATTTCTCTGCTTTACATTGGGTTGATAAAGTTTTCTTTATTTTCCTATTTTCTCTTTACTGGTTTAGTAGAAATACTTTCCATTTTTGTTAGTAGTTATCCTGACATTTTTAATATGCATACTTTTCTCAACAATGTTTAAAATGATCATTATATTTATCTTCCCCTCGAGCAATACAAGATCAAGATCATTAGAGTATTTTAACTTGTATTACCATCTCTATTTACATGCTAGTATTATCTAGGATTTTAGAACAACCTTGGTTTTAGTTCCTCCTTCTAGATAAGTGACCATTACTTTTTATAGTCAATGTTTCTTCAGGGTTTTTTTTTTACATATTTAATCTGTTACTTTGATCATTGTTGCTTCCTACATTCCATTTATTTCTTCCGTAATTTTCTTCTTTATAAAGTCCAATTTTTGATAGTTCTTTTAAGAATAGTCTGTAAATGGAGATTCTCTCAGTTTTTGTTCATCTGAGGAATATTTTTAGTTTGCCTTGAGTAATAGTTTAGCTGCGCATAGAATTCAGGGTTGGCGATTATTTTCTCTTAACACTTTGAAGATATTATTTAGTATCTATTGGTACTATTGAGAGAAGTCTGCTGTGCTTGAAATGATTTGCCTTATATAGGCATTCCCTTAAGTTAGGCAATGCTAAGCCATTTCTATCTTTGAATATTGTCTGTATTAGTAAGTTCTTGCTAATTTATAAGATTGTAATTTATAAGAAAAGAGGTTTAATTGGCTCATGGTTCTGCAGGCTGTACAGGAATCATGGAAGAGTCTGCTTCTGGGGATGCCTCAGAGTGCTTTTACTTAAGGCAGAAGGCAAGGCGGGAGCAGGCAGTTCAAATGGCAAAAGCAGGAGCAAGAGAGGGGTGGGGAGTGCTACACACTTTTAAACAACCACTCACTGAGAACTCACTCACCATCGTGAGAACAGTACTGAGGGGATGGTGCTAAACCATTCATGAGAAATACACCCCGTGATCCAGCCACCTCCCTCCAGACCCCACCTCCAACACTGGAGATTACAATTCAACATGCGATTTGTGTGGGCACACAGACCAAACCATATCATTTTCTCTATTCCAATTCTTTAAAATCATCTTTTAGAGATATATTTGCCCTTTTTTGTCTGTCCCCTATAGCTCTTATTCTCATTTTCATGGTTTTTTTTTTTTTTTGTCTCTTTTAATTTGTATTCCCTGTGCTGTATTCTTTGGTAGTTTTCCAAGATTTATGCCTTTGTTCATTAATTGACTCTCAGTATCTGTATCTCATCTTCTGTTTAACCCATTTACTGAAGTTTCAGTGATTGCAGTTGTTTATTCTCTAAGTTTTTTTCATTTCTCTTCTAAATCTGCCTCTTCTTTTGGCACAGGTTTTGTTCTTTACCTATGTTTTTATTCCTTCTTTCATGTCTTTAACACTTTTAAATATTAAATATTTTATATTCTTATTCAAATTATTATTCTATTATTTTATTATTTCTAATGTCTACAGAAGTCAACCTTCAGAAGATTCAAGTGCAAGTGGTTTATTTGGGAGGTGAAGGAAGCATGTGGGAAATAGCATAGAACACCTGCTTCAGAGTTAATCGCATGTCCCTCTTCTACCTAGGAGTAAGGGAGCTGGGGTGTTTATATCTTAGTCATTGGTTGAGTGTTAACTCCTTGGAACATGTAGCCAGCTGTATGCGAGGCTTATGCTGCTGCTTTAGAGGCAGTCCTCGGTAAAGATGTACAGATACCTACAGGTGAAAGTTGACAAGAAACATGAAATGGTATACTCCAAGGTCCAAGGCATGCTAGGAGGGTAATGAATATTTGCTACAAGAAGTTAATCCTCCCACTGATTTTGTTACTGGCTCTTGCTTATGTGTGTTTTGTAACTTTTAACTATGAGAATATCTTTAGAGGTGGTGTGTGTGTGTGCATGGGAATGTGTGTGTATGTGTGTGTGTGTAAATTATCTGCTTTCTGTACTTAAGTATCTCTCCATAGTGGTTTTACTTTTACTTCTGCCTTGTGTCCCTAAGGCCAATTTTTTTTTATTAGTTTGTCATTTGAGGAACCCTGAACAATGAAGGTTATATAAATTCCATCTAGTCTTAAGTCTGTGCATGTTACAGGCTTGGGATTTTAATTAATCATTTTCTTTTCCCTGGAGCTGATAGACGAGCTTCCTTGACATATCCCTTGTGTGGTGGTCTATTTTCTTCCTATTCTCCTTTTCTCTGAAGGTGTGGCTTTGAAGGTCCTGACTTTGTGCTCAGTTTTAATTCTAAATCTTTGCATCATATAAGGCCCAAGTTCTTATTTCCTGTTCTTGAATATGCTTTGCAATCCTAAGCCCCTGGCTGTTGCCAAATTTGAGGACCCTACCCGAAGGCTGCTGCAGAGTCAGCTCATGTGCTTACAATTAGGGCTTTCAGTTCCTTTGTTTCTGCCTACCTGGGATTTCCTTTTTTTCTTTCAAACTTAGATATGCATTAAAAATTTTGTTGTGTTTTTAGATTATTATTTCTAGATGTTGATAGCAGGATAGTTTCAGCTTTATCTATGTCTGCTTTTTTTCTGGAATTGACCATATAGATTTTTAAATATTTTAAACATGCATAGGGTATTTAAAAATAACATAAATGTGCATGCCTTTAGTAAGATATTACACTGTTTAAGTTAAAAAAACTGTCCAGACCCTGGGAGTCTGGACAGTGTTCCTTCCTAATCGGGAATCTTCTATTAATGAGCTGTGCCTTAGACAAGCTATTTAAACATTTTATGACTCAGTTTAATCACATAAAAAAGAAAGTAGATACTTGCTAAGGTCCCTTCCAGGAATAAAATTCCACCAACTAGTTTACAATCTAGCACTCAGTGCTGATGCAGCCAATTTAAGATGGTTAATGTAATTAATAAATTGAGTCTACTTGCCTACCCTCTTTACTAGACTATGAGTATCTTATGGGGCAGGACTGGATGGAGTCTTACATTTTTGTATAGCCAGTGCCTGAGCCTACTTTTAACAAAGCATGCTAGGAAATTTTGAGAGTGCTTTATACATGGATTTAGTGGTACAAAATCACTGTCTTTGCATTCTCTCCCTCCCAGTTGCTTCCTCATCAAAGCCAAAACCACCAAATTTCTCTCTTAATAACAAAACACACTGTTGGGAGTTTGCATATTTTTTCTGCTATTGTCCTATCTCCTTTCTTACTGGACAAGCTATATGAAATAATCATTTTACGTCTCCCTCTTCCAAACTCTTCTCCATTTTCATTCATAACTCTGATCTCTCCTGGCCTACTTCCACCCCTGTTGCTTTTCTTTCTTCATCCTCTTCTAATTCTGCACCTAAAATCTTAAAATTATCTGGGAATTTTGCTTCTTCTAATTCAACATGCTCTCCCCAAGTCACATCATCTATTGCCAAAGCTTCAATTACTACTTGCATGCTGATAATTTTCAAACCTGAAATAACGTGTTAGTATGTTTATTTATTGTATTTGTCAGTCTGTCTCTTCTTCTAAATTTAAACTCCATGAGAGCAGGGACCATATCTACCTTGTTCACCGCTATAGCCCCCAAATCTGAAACCAATCTGGCATGTAGTAGATGCTCAATACATATTACTTAATACATGACAAGTTTTAGGATGTATGGCCTTACTAAAGCACAGTATTTGATTTTTGCCAACAGAGCAATCAGTGTATGCCTGACAAAAATAATTTCAAAAACTCAAAAAAATCTCAGAAAAATCTCAACTAGGGATTTTGAGAAGATAGGGGCAGCAGTGGCAGCATAGTTTTTGGAACTTTCCAAGTCTGTATGAAAACAGACAAAGAATAGCAAAATCAACAACCCATAGACAACATTTTACGTAAAACTGGGTGATAAGATATCTCCACGAACTTCAAAAGACAAGGCCGAGTGCAGAGGCTCATGCCTATAATCCCAGCACTTTGGGAGGCCAAGGCAGGCAGATCACTTGAGATCAGGAGTTTATCAGCCTGACCAACATAGTGAAACCCCGTCTCTATTGAAAATACAAAAATTAGCTGAGCAAGGTGACAGGCACCTGTAATCCCAGCTACCTGGGAGGCTGAGTCAGGAGAATCACTTGAATCCGGGAGGTGGAGGTTGCAGTGAGCCAAGATGATGCCAGTGCACTCCAGCCTGGGCAACAGAGTGACACTCCATCTCAGGAAAGAAAAAAAAGACAAGTGAATGAGGAAAAACCATTTACAGACACAAGAGCTGCATGCTATTGATATCAGTGAGGGAGAAAGTAGGGAGAAGCAATGGGGTGAGAAGAGTAGAGCCCCCAGATAGTCAACAGGTATTCCCTGGAAATGTGGAAGGCCAGTTTCATAGCAGTGACTAAAATGTGGGAGTTTGCTCACTCTAAGAACAGAAAAGTTCAAGGGTTTCATGGTTCTTGTTTAGCTCCCATAAGCTCTCAAAACTGATGCTCCTTTCTAGGACAGGGCCCCTCTACAACAAGGAAAGATTGCTGGAAATAAGATTAAAATTTAACAGAAAAAGAGGACAGTTAAATGGAAGGGGTGAAAAACAGAGCAAAGAAGTTTTAGAAGGCAAGCCACCATACTGATTTTGAATAGTGTTATTGAGGTATAAATAACATACACTATATTATACACATTTAATGTGTAGAATTTGACACATTTTGACATGTGAAACCAAGATCACTCTCAAGAGGGTGAATGTGTCCATCACCCTATAAAGCTTCTTTGTGCCTCTTTGTGAACCCTCTCTCCTGCCCATCTCTGCTCCTTTTCCAGCAATTATTGTCTGCTTTCTGTGACTGCAGATTCATTTGCAGTTTTCTAGAGTTTTATCTAAATTAAGACATCAATTTTGTATGCTTTTTTCCTGACTTTTAAAAAAATTCAGTGTAATTGTTTTAAGATTTGTCTGTTGTTGCATGTGCATATTATCAATTTGCTCTTTTTTAATGATGTGTAATTCCATTGTGCAGAAATGTCACAATTTGTTTATCTATTCACCTGTTGATGGACATTTATGTTGTTCCCAGTTTGGGGCTATTACAAATAGAGCTGCTATGAACATTTGTGTATAAGTCTTTGTATGACTATATGCTTTCATGTCTCTTGAGTAAATATCAAGGAGTAAAATGGCTAGATCATTAGGTAGGTGTATGTTTAAATTTTAAATAAAATGTCAAACTGTTTTCCAAAGTGCTTGTACCATTTTGCATTTCCACCAGCAGTGTATGAGAGTTCCAGTTCCTACACATCTTTAGCAACACTTGGCATAGTCATTTAATTTTAGCCATTCTAATAGGTTGTCGTGGTATCTTATGGCTCCAGTTTGTATTTCTCTAATGACTAATGCTATTGAGCATCCTTTCATATGCTACTTTACCATCAGTACTTTCTTTGGTGAAGTATCTGTTCAGTCCTTTGACATTTTAAATTTGGGTTGCTTGTTTTTTCTTTTCTGTTTCTTTTTTTTTTTTGTTCTTTGAGACAAAGTCTGGCTGTATCGCCCAGACAGCATGGAGTTCAGTGGTGCGATCTTGGATCACTGGAACCTCTGCCTCCCAGGCTCAGGCAACTCAAGCAATTCTCCCACCTCAGCCTCGTGAGTAGTTGGGACCACAGCAACACACCACCACGCCTGGCTAATTGTTGAATATCTATCTATCTATCTATCTATCTATCTATCTATCTATCTATCTATCTATCTATCTATCGAGACAGGGTTTTGCCATGTTGCCCAGGCTGGTCTCAAACTTGTGAGCTCAAGCAATCTGCCTACCTCCGCCTCCCAGATTTCTGGGATTATAGGTGTGAGCCACTGTGCCTAGCCCTTGTTCTTTCTTAGTGTGGAGTTTTAGGAGTTCATTAAAATTCCTGATGCAAGTCTTTTATCATATATTTTTACCATACACAAAAATAATATAAGAGAATGTTCTGTGGAGGTAGAGAAACTATGGAAGTATATTAACATGAGTAACATAAAAGTTAAATTCACATTTTATATGAAGTTGCTGAAAGAAAAAGAAGATTAAGGAGCTGCTAGAACTCTGCCTAATACACCTGACAAACCTCTGTCCTAAAATTATAGGTGTTTGCCATTATTATAAAATCAGAAAATAACTCAAAAGTCCTGTTGCTGAAGCCTGAGTTTCCATCAGTTGATATTTATTTCTTTGCCTTAATAGTATTTATTGAAAGGCATGTACTAGCAAAAGGATGATATATTAACTTACCAACACCTCAATGAACATAATTGTTTGTGATCTTTTGAAATATGATAGAGAACTGAGAGGAACTTCTCAGGGAAATGATCCACTTAATAGATGGTTAAGTAGAGGGAAAATAGAGAGGTCCATTTATCATGTGAAAAAATTTTAGAAAAGATTATCTTTGGATGGGAGTGTTGGACTCTTCATAGTGGGAGTGTTGAAAGCAGCAAAAAATCTAGTTTTCTTCAGGACAGTGAAAGATAGGTCTGAAATGGGAGGAGGTAGGGCAATAATTGCTCATAATTCTACTTGATACAATCATGATTTAACTCTTCAGGTGGAAAAATAAATAAGATAAAACAAATGTTTGGCTCTGAGGTAGGTCAGAAATAGCAAAAACTCTGACTGATAAAATGTTTATGACTCAGGAAAAAAAAAATACAAGGAAGAACGCAGATGGAGAAATGGAAGCCAAAAATGGTATGTAGAGGGTCGGGGGAAGGGATGGCCAGAAAGAGAGGAGGGAAGAAAAAAGCAACACAGATGATTAAAACAATCTTTTAAAGGTTTGCTCCCTCTTTTTGAAAAATTTAAAAATATTTTCAGCAAACAATATTGCATCTCTCCTGGTTCTGTTTTGTTCAGCCTTCCTTTCTGCACTGTTGTCTGCTCTTTGTTTTGTATCCTAGTTTTGCAGGGGGAATTCTGCCTAACCAGACACCAGGGGAACTGCCAGCAATGTCAATCAGCTGTCATAACTAGGGCCAGGGACCAAAAAAGAACAGCATAAGCCAAAGAGGAAGAAAAAAATAAAAAAGAGCCAGAGAGAGTGTGTGGGAGTATGTTGGTTGGTGGAGGAGTACAGGAGGAGCTTGCTGGGCTGGGAAAACACATTTTCCCCATTTCTCCTGAGTCACTTCGGCTATACTTTTTTCAACTCTGTGGGAAATCAAGAGTAAAAGCTTGGCTTATCAGTGATTTCACTGAGCCAGGATTCAGAATGCTGAAGGGACATCCTGTACCAAGCTCTGAAACACTGACCTCAATAGAATCCCCACCCCACAGAAAAATATTTGCCTCTTTGTGTGGTAGCCCTGTAAGATATGTAGACTAGCACAGGGAGTAGGAAATATTTAGAATCAAATACTGACTTTAAATAAAAGAATGGAAAAAGTAGTGGACCTATTTCTTGCCTGAAATGCGGTATGCCAAAGACTTTACCAAGTCCAGTCATTCATTTGTGTTTGGATTAGTCTTGGAAAGGATCATTAGACCTGCATTTCTGCCAAACACAGTTAGGATTTGCTCATGCCAATGCCCAAATACAGACCTTGAGTTCAGTGTTGTGTCTACCGGGTGCCTTGTCTAATCCAGAATGGGCTTGCTTGTCGTGCTATTTCCAGACATAACATACACCACTGGGACAACTGTAATTAACATGTAGAATACTGAATAACCTTCAGCTAGAGCTATTTTGCCTCAACTGTTTGAGGTCACTAGAATAAGACATCTAGTTTCATAACCCTAGCAGAGGTCTGATGCCCTCTGTGACATAACTTTTTAAAAACCAAATGAGTTATATGTTCAAGAGCACCAGATTGCGTAAGTAGAAAGTGTTCAGGTTTGTTCTGTTTATGTATAATTGTTCCAGATACTGGCTCCAATTTGATTCATCCATTATGATTTTGTGATGTGATATTAACCTAGATTTCAGAATGCCAATGTTTGATGAAGAATAAAAACTATTATACATGAATTCATAATTATATCATTTTAATAGCTGATATACTAAAGATGATTCAATTCAGCTAAATAAGAAATTGGACTACATGATCCTTTTATTACTGCTCATAGACATTGGAACTACAATACATATTCTTTGGGTAATCAATGCATTAGAATCAATTATACATTAACACTTATGAGGTAAGAGGGTCTTGAGGCCCTTACAAACATGAATGCTATTTCTGATGCCCAATTTGTCTTTAAAGACTTTGACTTAAGTGAAATATAGATAATAAATTCAATAGCCATATGCCTATCTGTACATCATTATTGAAGAACACTCATTTCAACAGAGGTTGGCAGTTACACTCCTTAATGTGTCTCCAGAGCCACATCCTTCACATACTTTATCTGAAATATTTTTATCTATTTCTGGACAAAACCGCTTTTGATCCAAATAAAATCTTTTTTTAATTTGTGGCCTCTCATGGGAAAATTCATGTCTATTTGTGATTATTAGGTTTAGGGCAAGGTTTTTTTTTTAAAACAGCTGCTTTCAGAGAATTCAAAATCAAGCTAGAACAGATCACAAGGCAAGATGTTTCTCTTAATATACAGTTCATTTTGAACAAAGTTGCAGTCAATATATGCACCATAACAGGAAATTGTGTGCATGCAATAATATTTTTACAGTGAGTAACATCTTGTCATTTGTCAACACATTTGTCTTTTATATCCCCCTGCAGCTAAATTTGGTGGAAAAAGCCTATATAAAAAGACATCTATGTATTCCTGTATTTCTAGTGCTCATCTCTGAAAGGCCAAAGCACTTGACAAGCTGGCTATTTTAACACAAAATGATACAAAGGGATAAGGAGCACATACAAAGGGAGAATATCAGCTTTTTTGTTACACTCCAGGCTTCTCTGAAACTGTAAATTTGTCAGCAGACCAGGTCAAGGGTCAATATGAAAAAGCGTAGCCTGCAGAGTTACAGTGATGTCCAAGATTCATCACTTTACTCCAACTTTTGAATTGTATGTCTTAAGGTGAATATATTTTTTAATAAATCATATTCACTTTCTTTGCAAGAATTCAATGCATGTTTGATATTCAGAACCCAATTCTGTTACTTGGTGTGCTGAATTCACAAAGTAGACACACAAAAAAGGGTAGGGAGTGGTGGTCAGGAAAAATTATCATAGAAAATATATGGAAGCAGGAAAGTAGAGAAATTCCTTATTGATTGAGTGATAGATCCTTACTCTGTAGTAAGGTCACACAGAAGTAACAGATAAAATTAACTGAACCCATAACTTAAATTTGGATAAAAATATTTGGATAAAAAAGGAAAAAACATAACTGTTTAAGATTTGAATTATTTTTAGCACTCACCAATTAAAGCACATAGACACATATATTTGTGCCTGTGTGAACACATACACACACACCCCATTAACTTTTATATGCCTAAAGTTATAAAAATTCTGTGCCTTAATAATTTTGCCATATTTCTCCAAGGTTGAATTTTTTACCTCTCTTGTCATTCCATAAAATATCTGGAAAATTTTCCACAAGCCTTCCCGGAGACCAGATAAAAATGCCCTTTTGCTGTTCCCTATCACCTTCCCATTTCCTGTGCACACCTACTTCTTGGACAGCTGCATTTAATGTTAGGTTCATGTCCTGACTCAAAGAACTATGACTTACAAAGAGAGGAAAGTTTTGAAGTGAGAGCTTTTATCTGCGCTCTTAGACAAGAAAAGTCTTTTTCTTTGGAGTGTTGAGTAAGATGCTGGCAGGTCAGCCTCCAACTGCAGAATGGGAGAATATGATTCACTCTTAAATTTCTTTGCATGTTTTTGGAGTGAACATTTAAAGTACATTCTTTTCAGAAATGCATTCCCTCCATATGAACAGAAATTAGGAAGAAAAACAATGTTTTACCTTATTCTAAGAGACAAGTTAACAACAGCATCTTTGATGAATGCTCAGAATATCCCTAGCGTATTTGACCTTAAAATTTCTGGGATTTTCTGTAAGATAATATTGATCGAAGGGGACTATATGTTAAAATTTTAGCAT
This sequence comes from Homo sapiens, assembly GCF_000001405.40. Taxonomy (NCBI): domain Eukaryota; kingdom Metazoa; phylum Chordata; class Mammalia; order Primates; family Hominidae; genus Homo; species Homo sapiens. The sequence goes on from NC_000015.10 coordinate 35,693,824, forward strand.
TTCCCCGTAACACTTGTCATTTCCAGTTGAATATGTTCTCCAGAGGTGGAAGTTCTTGGAATAAGTTAAATTCAACCTAGCAACCAAACTATGTGACAGGGTCAGTGTGTTGTGTGGCGAGGGTAGGGGGAACTCTGTTTAGAGCCACTCGAAGTTTTCCAGTTTTCCCTAGCTTAACTGTTATCTTCATTTCTCTTCAGCTGTCTCTTGGGCTTTGATGTTCTATGTTATATTGCCTTTTGAGTACATACAGCAGGACCTGAAGTTCATGGTTAATATTAACAAGGTGAACACTCTGTTGGCAAGGCACTCCACAGTAAATTCCTCGAGTCCACAGAGACAAATGGCATTCAAAGGACAGTTCTGTAGATAGAAGGTCAGTTTCTGCTCAGCCACCTAATCAAGCATAGGAAATTATTCAGATCCTTGCTTATGTTCTTTAGGCCACAACTTGTAAGTAATTCGTGAGGTTCTTCATAACTTTTTCTCATTTATTTGTGGGAAAATTTCTGAAAGACAAGTAAAAAGCATATTTGTCTCTTTTCCATAGCAGTTAAAGAAATATTGTTGCTCATATTGTGGTTTTATCATTAGTAGAATAATCTATTATAAAATTCCACATTAGAGTGTAGTTTTTTAAATTTAGAAAATACTAGTTATATTTGTGTCTTTTATAACTGATGCAGTGCTTTGTGTACAATAGGTGCTCCGTACATTTTTTTAAAAAAACCTTAATAGTACATATTAAGTTTTCTCTGACAGTTTTCCTAGAAGGCTCTCAAAGTATTTTAACAAAACAGAATGTTACCAAAAACTCTATGAATAATAGATCAATAGTAACCCCATTTAACGGGGGAGGAAATTGAGATACAGTATGTCCAGATGATTTCAACAGGGCCATAATACAGAAAGAAACTAATAAATTCTAGATGTATTACATGATTTTTACCTAGAGCCACATATAGTTTGACTAATGTAGCCTCATCTGGCATGTCCATATGGATATGCGGGAAAGAAGAGGAGAGATAGGTGAAAGACATTGAGAAAAACCTAGAATAACTAATCTAATTTAATTATCTTCAGGAATTCAATCCAGATTTATATTTGGCAGCTACTACAAGATCTGTACCCCATTGCATTTTATAGGATATGCAAAAAAGGGTTAAAACATACTCTGGGCCTTCTGAAATTTAATAAACATTGTCTCCAGAAGCTGTCTTCAAATGTAAACCTAATTAGCCAAAGGAGGTAGTGAATTAATGTATCAGAACTGTCTAAATACTTACCATTTTATCAGCAGACACCAAGGTCCTAAGGTAAAAGGACTTGGAAAGATAAATAATGGTGGTGGAAAATGGTGAAGTCAAAAGCACTGGGCACTGTCCAGGAAAAAAGTGCTGAGGGTGGAGATGGGGGGGATGAAAGGGAGGATTCCTGGTCTGAAGAGGTAGCATGGGGATTCTGAGAACCTACCTTTGGAGAGGACACTGAAACAGAGCTCGGCTTCACAATGTAGCCTAGATTCGGTCCTGGGCAGTGTTATGATAATGATGGAGGATTGATGGGAGGACTGGTACCCAGGTATGGGAGGGGGAATGTGATGCTTCAGAGTCTCTGTGACCTTCTTGAAGAAACAGGAAATTAGTGATTCTTCAGAAAATAATCTGTTTGCAAGAACCAAAGTCTCTAAAAGTGTTATTCTTGACATGTTCACCTGACTACGGACAGTGTGTGTTGACTGACCAGTGGAAATTTTCAGTCTTCAAATAGATGTGCTCCTCTTTTCAAACCTGAACATGACATTAGCAAAATCAATTCTAACCATAGCCAGTCCATTCTCCAATCAGATTTACTTAGGAATCTCATTATAAAGCCAAACTTCTTTTGTAAATGTTTTATTTTAAATCATAGCACCATACTATTGTATAAGCAATAATTGTTTAACTGATTTTTTAAGCAAACTACCGTATTAAATATACAAATGTAAGAGTGTAAAGGCATGGAATAACAATATTATTTCAAGTTATATTTAAAGTGAGATTGCTCTGATAAGTCAATACACTAGGAGCTAGGCTGTATTGGAGACCCCGATGATTACTTCTTTATATTCAATTAGTGCATGTTTGAAAAGCTGCTAAGAGTAATCTGATTTTAGTTAACTGTTCTTAAATCTGGTTTGAACTTGGCCTGCTAGTCCTTTGACAGATCTGTGGGGTGAAAAGAATAATGGACTAGTTTGAACTTGCTCTTAATGCTTGGGTTTGGGTGGTTCTAGAATTAGACAGATGGCCAGATGGAATTAATGGGAAAATATTCAAGCCCAGGATGTGAGTTTTAATTGAAAAGCTTTGGTTTTCAGTAACAGAAAACAACTCAAGCTACTTAAGTAAATATTGAGAATTTATTATAGGAATATAGAGATATTGATGGGTACCTGAGGGCAGGAGTGTAGCTAGCCCTTAGAAAAGATTGAAATAGTCCTAGGAAAGTCAGGAAAGCCAGAAAGTACTCTTTCTCTAACTCTTTCTGCTTCTGGTACATATGGCTGGCATTCAGGTCTCTGAGGCACTTGATATACTTCCATTTATTTTATTTTATTTTATTTTTTGAGACAGAGTCTCACTCTACTACCCAGGCTGGAGTGCAGTGGTGCAATCATAGCTCACTGCAACCTGAAACTCCTGGGTTCAAGTGATCCTCCTGCCCCTGCCTCCCGAGTAGCTGAGACTACAGTTATCCACCGTGTCTGGCGGATTTTTTGATTGTAGAGGTGAGGGCTTACTATGTTGCCCAGGCTGGTCTCGTCTCAAACCCCTGAGCTATAAGTTTCCTCCTGCCTTGGCCTCCCAAAGTGCTAGGATTAGAGGTGTGAGCCACTGCACCCAGCCCCATACTTCCAACTGAATGTAAAAACTAATGGAACTCTCTTATCATTGAATTTCAAATTCCTAGGAGAAGTGGATGACCTTAAAGTGGATCAGCTTTTCATCCTTGATCTAATCACCTCTTTGCAGTGGAGTTGGGTAGGGTGAGTGGAGAAGTGAGGTAATGATATATCAGCCAGCTGGGGAGCTACTCCTATGAGCAATTCCAGAGAGATGAGTCAGTGAGTTGAGCAGACATCTGAGAGTAGTCCTATAGAGTTTGAAATGGGGCTCCCAGAGTTGGTGCAACAGAGTAGGAAACAACGAGAAGACAAGTTAAAAATAAAAATGAAAATGGCAGCAGAGATAAAAATTGATAAAATTTTGTATCAACAAGAATTGGAGTCAGCCACTCTTAAACTCCTGGGCACGAGTATTTATTTCCTCCCCTTTGCCGGCGTGGAAGAGGGCGCACTATGGGAATTTCACCTCCTCCCTAAGGCATTTCCTGACTAGTTGTTTCTCACTGATGCCCTTAAACTATAAACCTCTACGTTACTTGAAACTTGTACCTCACTGAGCTCTTGCTAGTATACTAGCTTTACTTTTTCTGGTGTTGTGTTATACAGATAAATGATAAAAATATGCATATACATATAGCTCTTTCAGCTTAGGCTTCATGTTTTTTTTTACTTTATAGCCCACCTGCTTCCAAGAGTATATGGGGCAGCAATTCATCTGAAGATTGGGCTACTCAAAGGCTATATATGCCTCTTTTTCACTCTTCAGCATCTATTATTATTTGCAAAATTAGAAAATTGTGCTGGATGAGCTCTCAAATGCCTTCTAGCCCGAACAGTCTCTGATCCCATGGTCTAAGATATAACCTATCCCAAGTAAATGTAAAACTTTGTGACAAATCACAACCACGGGGAGTTTGTGACAATTTTTAGCCTGCAGGTGTTGCTGTGGTGTAAGAAGAATTAGGAGATGGTAAGGAACCCATCAAACAATAGCGATAAAAAAGATGTTTTTAAGGATTCTGTTTACATCCCACAGGCAGGAGCAGGTTTCCCCTGCTCCAGCACCTCTCTGTGAAAGGACTGGGGTTGGTTTCCCGAACAGGGCAAAAAGCAGAGGGTGTGTGTTCTCGCCAGCTGGACCTCGATATCTGAAAGGATGTCCTGTTTACATTTGGCACCAGAGCTTAGTGATTGCACTGCCTGAGTGCCCAGAGAATGAGATAAAACTCAAAATAAATTTTCACACAAGTTTAAAAAATAACACTCTGCTGACCCTGTCATCATACCACCTGGGATTAGTTTACCAAAGGCCTGTGTTTCAAAAGAATGCTTACTAAGGAGGGTGAGGCCGTGGTATCCACGGAATGCATTTTTTTTTTTTTTTTGGTGGCTAGGAGGATTTTCTTCATCCTTTCTCTTTTTCTTCCCCTTATTTTTTCTTCCCCAACACCCATCTTTTTTTTTTTTTTTAACATAGAGAAAAGGGAGAGGCAGAAGCTTGGCTGAGAGCCAGACTCATTTCATGAAGTGACCTGTGTAGGTAACTGAACGCTACACCATATACTAAGCATTCAGTATAAAGAAAATTAAGCAAGTCTATTTTAAAGCCTGAAAAGTTTATTTTTTCTTTTTTTAATGAAATAATTTCATTTATGAGGAGGTGTAGGATGTGGTGGCGAGGATCCAGAACAAAGAAGAAAAAGGAATGGGAAACTGGAAAATAAAATTTGCAGGTGAAAAATCATCATGGGAGACAAAAACTCTTAAACACCAGAGTTTGTTAGTCTCGGCAGCTGGAGTGCTGTGAGAGTTGGACTACTGGTTCACTGCAGATTTTTGTTAAGCAAACATTCTCTTATGATGCCTACTCAAAGGCCTCTTGTCCTTTCTGACAGCTCGCCTCTCTGACCCCCTGAACTGGTTACAGTTAACACTAAATATTGCCATCTTTTATTGTTGGCTACCATTCTGCCTTAAATTCTTCCATGCATGAAATGTATAGGGAACTATATATACGGAGATGGCTTCAAGTGTATAAATTGTCTCCCCAATGAAATTGGAAGCTTCCTCAAGGCAAGTCACCACAGAATTCCATATTTTAGGCATTATGGTACCTACACAGAAATTAATCAAGGAAGACCAAAACAACCTAGAGGTTTCTAACTTTTAGTCTTCCCCCTCCCCCGAAAACGTGTACATTTTATGATTTCTTTGTTTATTCTACACTGCATGTACAAAACAAGCTTTGGATACCAAATTGTGTGTATTTCAGGATGCCAGCATTGCTTTTGCAATAAGTGGAACCAGAATTAGCAATTGAATAGCCAAGTAAATGAAGACCAGGTACTCAAAACCCACCATTTATCATGGGTTTGCAAGACAACTGCGTTTATTTCACTCTACATGTGAGAGAACATGCCTAGCAATCAGGTCAGCACTATGAACATTGCACTGTATTTATCTTTAGTCCCTAAACATTGTGTGTAATCAAGGAAGTGAGATGGAGTAATAAAAAACCATTATAGAGTTCTGAAAGCCCTCAATTTCATATTTACATCTTGGAACCAGCTCATTCTGACTTCATAACTCCTTAATTAGAGGCACAGTCGTTTTCTTTTCTGTAGGGCATTTTTTTCACCCTCACAATACAAGCATACATTTGGTAACTAATACCAGCAATTAGCCTCATCTGCTATGTAAATGAGTGTAATTGCAATTAAATACTTTAGTAGGCCCAAAGGGAAAACATGCAATCATTACAAAGTAGAAGAGCATGGTTAAGGGACATTTTGAAGTGTTAGCAGAAGTGCTTTTCCCTGTGGTGTCAGGAGCCTTTTCTATGGTGAATTATTTCACTGGGAGCCCTGGAACTTGACTTGCATTTCTTGTTCTATTTTCCTACAGAGTTCAGAAGAAAACTGCCCTTTTCAGCATTTCTAAGGGTTGATTGGTTTTGGTAACAATTGGTTTGGAGAATTGGTTTCTCTTCATTGTAGATCCAGGGCTTAAAAATGTTAGCTTTCAGCTGTGTTTGGTGTACAAGTTGGAGAAACAACGCTATTCGCCAAAAAGATATTTTTTAGTATCAATAATTGCTGATTAGTAGATCTTGAGGTAGAGAACTGTTGGAAGAACATAATACACATAAGAGAGAGAGATGCCCTACTAGGGAGTCAAGCAGTACTGGTACTGTTATCAGAAAGGGCTCTAGATCTAGACCCCAAGAGAGGGTTCTTGGATCTTGCACAAGAAAGAATTTGGGGTGAGTCCATAAAGTGAAAGCAAGTTTGTTAAGAAAGTAAAGGAATGAAAGAATGGCTACTCCATAGGCAGAACAGTAGCATGGGCTGCTGATTGCCTTTTTTTTTTTGGTTATTTCTTGATTATATGCTAAACAAGGGGTGCATTTTTCATGAGTTTTCTGGGAAGGGGATGGCAATTCCTGGAACTGAGGGTTCCTCCGCTTGTTATACCATATAGGGTAAATTCCTGATGTTGCCATGGCATTTGTAAACTGTCATGGTGCTGTTGGGAGTGTAGCAGTGAGGACGACCAGAGGTCACTCTCATTGCCATCTTGGTTATGGTAGGTTTTAGCCAGTGTCTTTACTGCAACCTGTTTTATCAGCAAGGTCTTTATGACCTGTACCTTGTGCTGACCTCCTATCTCATCCTGTGACTTAGAATGCCTAATCATCTAGGAATGCAGCCCCGTAGGTTTCAGCCTCATTTTCTCCAGCCCCTATTCAAGATGGAGCTGCTCTGGTGCTCTGGTTCAAACACCTCTGACAGTACTGGCCAGTGGCATATAGTGGCTTAGAGCTCAGACTTCGGAGCTAGCCCTCAATAGCTGCACGCACCTGGGCAAGTCATGTACCTATTTTCCCCATTTGTAAAATGGGGAGACATAGTATGTATCTCATAGTGTTGCCTTAAGGATGAATTTTGTTCATGCACATGAAGCATTGAGAATACAGTCTGGCAAAAAGTAAATACTTGATAAATGTATGTTGAAAGAGCTCTACACCTTTCATTTCTTCATGCAGATTTCCTCTCTGAATAATCCAAACTTCAAAGCAATGCACCTAAATGGAATCCTTTTGGTATCTAGGAAGCTTACTATAGATTATGCCATAAGACTTCTTCGAGGAGCATGATCCCAATGATATTCACTATTATAGACATACATTTACCTAGGGATAAGTCACATGGTAATGCAGGAACTTCTTACTGAGAATCCAGATAAAAACTGATTCGTTTTTATCAATGGATAGTGAATATGTAACAAATCATTTTTCTTTCTTTGCCTTGGCTGCTAGGAATCTCAGAGGTAAACTTGTAGCCAACATATCTCTAGTTATCTATACAGGACTCTAGTGCATTTGGGATAATATCACAGGCTTTTGT